>NC_000004.12:118466835-118618350 GCF_000001405.40 Homo sapiens | reverse complement strand
AGGAGAGCCCATGTAATTACAAGCATTCTTTAAAACTGGAAGAGGGAGGCAGAAGGTTAAGAACCAGAGACGGTGGGCACAATGGCTCATGCCTGTAATACCAATACTTTGGGAGGCCAGGGCAGGAAAATCCCTTGAGTGCAGGAGTTCAAGGTCAGCCGCGGCAACATACTGAGGTCCCATCTCTACAACAAAATAAAAACAAAATTCACTGAGTGTCACGATGCTTACCTGTAGTCCCAGCTACTGGGAAGGCTGACATGGTAGGATTGCTTGAGCCTGGGAGTTTGAGGCTATAATGAGCCATGATAGGACCACTGAACTCCATCCTGAGTGACAGGGCAAGGTCCTGTTTCTAAAGAAAAAAAGGACATTGGAATCAGGGTCCTCTCCATCCTGAGGTGCCTACAAGGCATCTCTCTCTGCAAACGAGTAAACATCACCCTCCAACTCCTTACAGAGTGGAGCAGCAGGAAAACTCCTTCACCTCATTTCTGTGCTGCTTGGGAGGCCTGGACAGCCCAATAACCAGCTCCTTGCTGATGAAGCAATCAGGAAATGGCTCGAGTTGAGCTAAGGAGAATTTGGATCCTTCTTTTGGTTCTCAATAGGCAGGGTAGGGGCCAGGCATGGTGGCTCATACCTGTAATCCTTGCACTGTGGGGGGCCAAGGTGAGAGGATTGCTTGAGGCCAGGAGCTCACGACCAGCCTGGGCAACATAGCAAGACCTGGGTGGCATACACCTGTGGTCCCTACTACTTGGTAGGATGAGGTGGGAGGATTGATCACTTGATCCCAGGAGTTTCAGGCTGCAGTGACCCATGATCACACCACTGCACTTCAGCCTGGGTGACAGAGCCAGACCATGTCACAAAAAGTTAGAAAAAAAAAAAAGAGAGGGAGAGAGACGATACACAGGCACCACCACATTTGGCTAATTTTTAAGTATTCTGTAGAGACAAGGTCTTGCTAGGTTGCCCAGGCTAGTCTAAAACTCCTGGCATCAGGCTGGGCATGGTGGCTCATGCTTGTAATCCCAGCACTTTGGGAAGCTAAAGCAGGCAAATCACCCGAAGTCTGGAGTTCGAGACCAGCCTGGTCAACATGGTGAAACTCTGACTCTATCAAAAATACAAAAATTAGCTGGGCAGTAGTGGCGTGTACCTGTAGTCTCACCTACTCGGGAGGCTGAGGCAGGAGAATCACCTGAACCTGGGAGGTGGAGGTTGCAGTGGACCCCATCACTGCACTCCACCCTGGGTGACAGAGCGAGACTCTGTCAAAAACAACAACAACAACAATAACAAAAACAAATACAACAACAACAAAAAAAACTCCTGGCATCAAGACATCTTCCTGTCTTAGCCTCCCAATGCCCTGGGATTATACTGTTTCCTATAATTGAAGACACTTGTTCTTATACTGCTTTAAGGTATAAAGGAAGAAAAAAAAAACAGATAATGGCAAATGTTGGTGAAGGCCGGGCATGGTGGCAGCCTGCAATTCCAGAACTTAGGGAGGCTGAGGTGGGCAGATCACTTGAGGCCAGGAGTATGAGACCAGCCTGGGCAACATGGTAAAATCTCATCACTACAAAAAAAATATAAAAATTAGCCAGGCATGGTGGCATACACCTGTAATTTTCAGCTACTCAGGGGGCTGAGATGAGAGAATCACTTGTGCCTGGGAGGTCAAGGCTGCAGTGAACTGTGATGGCATCATTGCACTGCGGCCTGAGAGACAGAGCAAGCCCCTATCTAGAAAAAAAAATGTCAGTGAAGATGTGGAGGAATTGGAACCCACATACATTACTGGTGGGAACATAAAATCGTGTAACCATTTTGTTTGGGTATTTCTTTTCTTGTCATTTTAATTGGATTTTTAAAAAATCAACACAGGGTTTCACTATCTTGCCCAGGCTGGTCTTGAATTCATGGGCTCAAGCCATCCTCCTAGCTGAGCCTCCTGAGTAGCTGGGATTACAGGTGTGAGCCATTGCACCCAACTGGTGTAGCCACGTTAGAAAACAGTCTGGCAGTTTCTCAAAAGGCTAAATGTACAGTCATCCTATAATGCAACAATTTCACTCCTAGGCATATATCCCAGAAAAATAAAAATATATGTCCACACAAAAACTTGTACAACAATCTTCATAGCAGCATTATTCATAATGACCAATACATGGAATACATGGAAACAACCCAAATATCCACCAACTGATGAACAGATAAACAAAATGCAGTGTGTCTCTACCATGGAATACTGCCATAGAAGGAATGAAATATTGATACACACTATGACATAAAGGAACTTTGAAAACACTGTGCTAAGAGGGGAAAAAAGCCACAAAAGATCACATATTGTACAATTCTATTTGTCCAGATTAGGCAAATCTATAGTGACAAAAAAATTAATCAATGGTTGCCTAAGGCTGGGGGCAAAGGTAGGTGGGGAGAGTAGGAGGTAGTGGCTGAGGGGTATGGATTTCTCTATAGGGTAATGAAACGTTCTAAAAGTGACTGTGGTGATCGATGCACAGCTCTGTGAATATTCTAAAACCTACTGAATTGCAGATTTCAATAAATAAAGTGAATGGTATGTGAATATTTTAATAAAGCTATTATTTAAAATAATAATAATAGGGGGCTGGGCACAGGTGGTCATGCCTGCCTGTAATCCCAGCACTTTGGGAGGCTGAGGCAGGAGGACCACTTGAGGTCAGGAGTTTTGAGCCCAGTTGGAGCAACGTGGCAAGATCCCGTCTCTATGATAAAAAATTAGCTGGACATGGTGGCACATGTCTGTAGTCCCAGCTACTTGGGAGACTGAAGTGAGAGAACCGCTTGAGCCCAGGAGTTTGAGGCTACAGTGAACCATGATCATGTCACTGTACTGTAGCCTGAGCAACAGAGCAAGACGCTGTCTCTGAAAAGGAAAGAAAACAAATGCAAGTTTTTATCACTTTATGAGTGCAGCCAAGTTGGAGGAGAAATAGACAATAATAAAAGAGCACTGAATAATGACGGTGAGTGGCTGGTTAGGCTCAGTTGCTAGCTAAATGGCTTCTAAAAAATTCAATAAAGTTACAGCTCTGGGGACAGTCATGTAGTCAAAGAATGAATGCTAAATTCATTACAAATGCCCATGGTCTTTATTTACATGCCTTCTAGTGAAAAATTCCTAAGTGCCTAAATAGCAAGTCTGCAATGATAGCAGCTGTTTATTAAAGACTACAAAAAAGAAATGGAGGCCGGGCGTGGTTGCTCACATCTGTACTCCTTGAATTTTGGGAGGCTGAGGCAGGCAGATTGCCTGAGGTCAGGAGCTCCAGAGGAGCCTGGCCAACATGGTGAAACCCCATCTCTACTAAAAATACAAAAATCAGCTGGGTATGGTGGCGGGCGCCTGTAATCTCAGCTACTCGGGAGGCTAAGGCAGGAGAATTGCTTGAACCCAGAAGGTGAAGGTTGCAGTGAGCCAAAATCGCACCATTGCACTCCAGCCTGGGTGACAAGAGAAAGACTCTTATCTTAAAAAAAAAAAGAAAAAAAAGAAATGGCATCTTCTTCAAGAATTACATCGTGTTTCATGATAAAGAAGCTCTAATTTTGCATTTGTTCAAGTATTGATGAGATTTAGCCAATATGACACCCATCTTGGATAAAATGCAAACAACACAATTTCATTTTCTCATTAACAAAACCGATTAAGTAGTCTAATATCAATTCTGATCTTATTAAAAACTCATCAGATTAAAAAAATTATGGAATTATGGAGCCAATAAGATGTTACAACCTGTTCCAAGGGGAATTCCAAAATCCATACATATCTGAGACCATCAAGTATGATGAAATATATTTGACTACTATATCGAAAAATAAACTGATTACATAGCCAACAATTGGACAGGGGTCTCCTCATCCACAGCCACACAAACCCGATCATGCAGCTATGTGGTTACAAGGCCTACATAGCCTAGAAGGGACTGGTCTGACTTGAGATTTCATTTGTATTTGTATTTTGAGACAGGGTCCCACTCTGTCACCCAGGATGGAGTGCAGTGGTATAATCATAGCTCACTGCAACCTTGACCAACTGGGTTCAACAGATGCTCCTGACTCAGCTGCCCCCATACCTGGGAATACAGGCAAGTACCACCATGTCAGGCATTTTTTTCATTTTTGTAGAGAGAGAAGTCTTGCTATGTTGCCCAAGCTGGCCTCAAACTCCTAGAATCAAGAGATCTGCCCATCTCAGCCACATGAGTAACTGGGGCCATAGGTACATACCGTCATGCCTGGCTATATTTATTTTATTAAATTTATTTTTTTTATTTTTGTAGAGAGGAGGTCTTGCTGTTTTGCCCAGGCTGCTCTCAAACTCATGGCCTTAAAACATACTCCCATCTCTGCCTCTCAAACTGTTGGAACTATAGGTGTGAGCCACTGCACCTGGCCTAACTTGAGATTTCTTTTATCTAGCATCCTTTACTTGGTAGGATTGGGAAAGGCAGTAGTGTTTTTTAAAATTACTTAATAATTCAATCAGAATCAAACTCAACCTTGACCACTGCCTTCTCTCACAGCTCACATCCAGTCTGTCAGGAAATCCTACTGACTGACTTCAACATGTATCCAGGCTCTGACCATCTCTCACCACCACCGTGAACCCGGTCAGGATCACTATCATCTCCCAGCGGGATGTTGCCACAGCTTGGCCCCCATGCTTCCACCCAAATCTTCCCATAGTCTTTCTCAACTTGGCAGCCAGGTCGTGCTTTTAAATCAGGAGACAGATCACATCGCCTCTCTGCTCAGAAGCCCTCGGTGGTTCCCATTTTAGTCAGAGTAAAAGCCAAAGCCCCAGCAATAGCGTCCCAGGGCTTACACGATCTGTACCGATCCCAGCCCAGCAACTCCCTGGCCTCCTTGCTGACTTCGCTCCCTCTATCTCTTTGCTCCACTGGCCTCCTTTCAGAGCCTCAGACACACCAGAGAGTTTCCTCCTAATGCCTTTATCCTGTTGACTCAGCCTACAATGCTCTTCCCTCAGCACCTTGGCCAGCTCCATCACCTGCTTCAAACTTTTGCTCAATATTCACTTATGAGGCCAACCCTGACCACTCTACTTAACACTGCCATCTGTCCCCATTCCCACCATGCTCATTTCTTTCTTTTTGAAACAAGGTCTTGCTTTATTGCCCAGGCTGGAGTACACTGGTGCAATCACAGCTCACAGCAACTTCAACCTCCCAGGCTTAAACAATCCTCCCGCCTCAGCCACCCTAGGAACTGAGACTACAGCTGCATGCCACAACACATGGCTTTTTTTTTTTTTTTTTTTTTTTTTTGAGACGGAGTCTCGGTCGCCCAGGCTAAAGTGTAAGGGTGCGATCTTGGCTCACTGCAATGTCTGCCTTTTGGGTTCAAGTGATTCTCTGCCTCCTGAGTAGCTGGGATTACAGGCACCCACCACCACACCTGGCTAATGTTTGTATTTTTAGTAGAGATGGGGTTTCACCATCTTGGCTAGGCTGGTCTTGAACTTCTGACCTCATGATCCACCCTCCTCGGCCTCCCAAAGTGCTGGGATTACAGGCGTGAGCCACTGCGTCTGGCCTTTTAAAAAAATTTTTTTTAGACATGAGGTCTTATTATGTTGCCCAGGCTGGTCTTAAGCTCCTGGGCTTAAGCGATCCTCCCACCTCAGCCTCCTAAAATTCTGGGATTACAGGCGTGAGCAACTGTAACATGAGGTCCCAGCTTCATGTTCATTTTTTGTTGTTGCTACAACAAAGTACCCTACATTTAGTGGCATCAAACACCACAAATCTACCATCTTACAGTTCTGGGGGCCAGAAGCCCAACTAGGTCTATTAAGGCTAAAGTCAAGGTGTCAGAGGAGCTGCATTCCTTCTGGGGGAGGCTCTAGACAGAATGTGCTCCTTTGCCTTTCCCAGCTTCTAGAAGCCACCCCTATTCCTTGACTTACCTCGTGACTCGATATTCAAGGCCAGAAGTGCAGCATCTTCAAATCTCCCTCTCTGACCTCTTCTTCCATTACCACATCACTTTCTCTAATTCTGACTCTCCTACCTCCTTCTCTTATAAAGATCCTTGTGATTGGTGGGTATGGGGGCTCCCATCTGTAATCCCAACAAGTTGGGAGGCCAAAGAGGAAGGATTGCTTGAGGCCAAGAGTTAGAGATCAGCCTGGGGAAAATAGGAAGACCCTGCCTTTACAAAATTAAAATTAAAATCAGCTGGACATGGTGATGCACGCCTGTAGTTCCAGCTACTGGGGAGGCTAAGGTGGGAGGATTGCTTTAGCCTAGGAGGTCAAGGCTGCAGTGAGCTATGATCACATCACTGCACTCCAGCCTCAGTGGCAGAGTGAGACTCTGTCTCCAATATAAGAAAAGAAATATACATTTGGTCTCTGCCCCTGGTTCCTGGCATAGAGCTTCCAAAGCTCTTATAAAGCCCTTCGTGACAGAGGTAATAGGAGCATTTTCTGTTTTGATATTTAGTCTTAGTCCCAGGTTCCTGACACAAGGGCCTCTAAGGTCTTTCAGATCTGCAGCATGGTAAGAATGCATGTGGGATGCTGTTGAGCTAACAGGGTGGCTGCAAGCTCCTAGACTGCTTCAGGAGGAGGGCTAGCTGCCAGAGAAAGCAACCACATTTTTTTTTTTAAACGGAGTTTGGCTCTTGTAGCCCAGGCTGGAGTGCAATGGCACAATCTCAGCTCACTACAACCTCCACCTCCCGGGTTCAAGCAATTCTCCTGCCTCGGCCTCCCGAGTAGCTGGAATTATAGGGATGTCTCACAACGCCTAACTAATTGTTGTTATTTTTAGTAGAAATGGGGTTTCACCATGTTGGTCAGGCTGGTCTCAAACTCCTGACCTCAAGTGGTCCATGTGCCTCAGCCTTCCAAACTGCTAGGATTACAGGAGTGAGCCACTGCACCTGGCCCCAACCACATTTTTTGAGGCTTGGAACTTTCAGCCTCACCTGCTGAACTCCAGGAGGCAAAAGGAACTGGAGATTGACTTAACTACCAATGGCCAATGATTTTATCAATCATGCCTCCATAAAAACCCAAACAGCAGGGTTTGGAGAGCTTCTGTGTTGCTAAACACAAGGAGGTCCTGGGAGGGTAGTGTGCCCAACAGAGGGCATGGAAGCTCTGTGCCCCTCCCCACTTACCTTGTCCTGTGCATCTCTTTCATTGGCTGTTCCTGAGATGGAGCCATTACATTGAGCCAGTAATAGAAAATAAGGTGGCCAGATGCGCTGGCTCATGCCCGTAATCCCAGCACTTTGGGAGGCAGAGGTGGGCGGAATCACTTGAGCCTAGGAATTTGAGACCAGCCTGGGCAACATAAGAGGACCCCATCTATACAAAAAATAAAATAAATTAGCCAAATGTGGTGGTGGGAACCCTGTAATTCCAGCTACTTGAGAGGCTGCAGCAGGAGAATCACTTGAGCCCTGGAGGTTGAGGCTTCAATGAGCAATGATTGCACCACTGCACACCAGCCTGGACAACAGAGCGAGGCCCTGTCTCTTAAAAAGGAAAGAAAAAAACCTGTTTTTCTAAGTTCTGTGAGTTGTTCTAGTAAATAATTAAACTCAAGAAGAGGGTCATGGGAAACCCTGATTTCTAACTGGTTGGTCAAAATACAGGTGACAACCTAGGACTTGCAACTGGCATCTGAAGTGAGAGTGGTCTTGTGGGACTGAGCCCCTAACCTGTGGGTTCTGCGCTAACTCTAGGTAGTGTCAGAATGGAATTGTGGGATACGCGGTTGGTATCCAGAGAGTTGGAGAACTGGTGTAGAAACTCTGCACACACATTTGGTCAGAAGTCTGTGAGTAGAGAGAAACGTGTTGCGGGAAGTCAGGGACCCCAAACGGAGGGACCGGCTGAAGCCACGGCAGAAGAACATAAATTGTGAAGATTTCATGGACATTTATTAGTTCCCCAAATTAATACTTCTATAATTTCTTGGGCCTATCTTTACTGTAATCTCTGAACATAAATTGTGAAGATTTCATGGACACTTATCACTTCCCTAATCAATACCCTTGTGATTTCCTATGCCTGTCTTTACTTTAATCTCTTAATCCGGTCATCTTCGTAAGCTGAGGATGAATGTCCCTGCAGGACCCTGTGATAATTGCGTTAACTGCACAAGTTGTTTAAACAGTATGAAACCTGGGCACCTTGAAAAAAAAACAGGATGACAGCAATTTCAGGGAACAAGGGAGATAACCTTAAACTCTGGCTGCCTGTGGGCCGGGTGGAACAGAGCCATATTTCTCTTCTTTCAAAAGCAAATAGGAGAAATATTGCTGAATTCTTTTTCTCAGCAAAGAACATCCCTGAGAAAGAGAATGCATCCCTAAGGGGAGGCCTCTGAAATGGCCGCTTTGGGGACGGCTGTCTTTTACAGTCGTAGATAAGGGATGAAATAAGCCCTGGGCTCGCGTGGCGCTCCCAGGCTTATCAGGACAAGGAAATTCCCGCCTAATAAATTTTGGTCAGGTGGGTTGTCTGCTCTCAAACCCTTTCTCCTGATAAGATGTTATCAATGACAATGCGTGCCCGAAACTTCATTAGCAATTTTAATTTCGCCCCGGTCCTGTGGTCCTGTGATCTTGCCCTGCCTCCATTTGCCTTGTGATATTTTATTACCTTGTGAAGCACGTGATCTCTGTGACCCACACCCTATTCGTACACTCCCTCCCCTTTTGAAAATCACTAATAAAAACTTGTTGGTTTTGCGGCTTGGGGGGCATCACGGAACCTGCCGACATGTGATGTCTCCCCTGGACACCCAGCTTTAAAATTTCTCTCTTTTGTACTCTTTTCCTTTATTTCTCAGACCGGCCAACAGTCAGGGAAAACAGAAAAGAACCTACATGAAATATCGGGGTGAATTTCCCCCGATATCACACGGGCTCTTCTCTCACCTGTCTACCTGCTTAACTGCATAGGAGAGGCAATGCATGGTGCTCATGAACAAGGCAAGCATTGAAGTCAGACCAGACTAACATTTGACTCAGTCTTAATATTCAGGTGAGCTTGGGCAAATCGCTCATTAACCCCAAGTCTTCATCATTTTGTGCATATAATGGGGATAACTGTGGCACCCACCTGTTTTTGTGAGAATCAATGAAATATTATGCTTGATGTTATTGTGATCATGATACTATCTGACAAGGGCAGTGATGCATGATAACATCAAAAAATTAGAAACTGTAATGAGGTCTCTTGGGCAAAATTCCATACAAGCAAATTACTGTCTCTACAAAGCATTTCTGCCACACTTAATTCACCATTCCCTGAACAAAATGTGCCATCTTCATTGTTCAGGTCTGTATAGTGCTGGTTTCCCTGCCTGGGCAGCTCACTCCATCCCATCCCAGCCCAATCCCCATCCCTCCACCTCCCCCTTCCCTCCCCACTCTCATACAACTCTTCCTTATCTTACAGGACTTGGCTTCAATGTCACCTTAACTGGAAGCTTCTCTCCCTCTCCAGAAGAGCTTCCCATTGCACTTGATGCATGCACTATTATTTGATCATTTTTGAGTTACAGTCCAAGTCTTTTTGTACCTGAATAACATGTTGCCCAGTCAGTTTCTCTTCCTGGATTCAGAAGTCTTTCATGGTAGGTCCAGCTAGAAGTGACAAAAAGACATTTAAAAAAAAAAAAAAAAAAAAAGAGGGATGACAGAGACAGACATCAGCACTTAAAAGTTTTAAACGATATGTGAAAAACAAAATTTAAGGGCTTCTAGGAGAAATGTAGGAGGGAAGGTGTTACTGGGAAATATGATAGAAGGTTAATTTTTATTTTATTTTATTTTTAGAGAAAGGGTCTTGCTCTATCGCCCAGGCTGGACTGCAGTGGTGCAATCACAGTTAACTGCAGCCTCAACCTCCAGGGCTTGAGCAATATTCCCATCTAATTTCTATTTTGTTTAAGAAATGCAGTCTTGCTCTTAGCAAAGCTAAAGTGCAATGGTGCGATCATAGCTTACTACAGCCTCAACCTTCTAGACTCAAGTGATCCTCCAGTCTTAGCCTCCCCAGTAGCTGGGACTACAGGTGTGCACTGCAACGTGTAGCTCATTTTTTTATTTTTATTTTTAGTAGAGACAAAGTGTCACTATGTTGACCAGGTTGGTGGTGATCTCCTACACTCAGGCAGTTCTCTCACCTCAGCCTTCCAAAATGCTGGGATTACAGGTGTGAGCTGCCACACCTGGCTGAGGGAGTTAATTTTTAATTATATAAAGAGCTCAAAGCAAATATTAGAAGGAGCCTAAATGCCTCCAGCAGTTGACTGGTACTGGTAAATTGTGATACATCCATATAATAAAATATTATGCAACCATGAAAAGGATTAAGCTAGATCAACAGGTATTGGCACAAATGTCCACGAAATATGAAAATATGAAGTGATGTTCAATCACCATGTACGTATCTTGAAGGATATGGCCCATTTTCTCAATTGCAATTATTTCCTGAGATAAGATTATGGGTCTCAAGAGTGAAGGACATTTTTCACTTATTTAAAAGTATTTATTATTTTTATAATTTAATAAAAGATTAAACAGATCATTGAATTAGTAAAAGACAAAGTAACTCTACAAATAAATGGAAAAGACACAGATACCCCAGGCATGGTGGCTCATGCTTATAATACCAGTACTTTGGGAGAGGGTGGTGGGGGGATTGCTTGAGGCCAGGAGTTCCAGACCAGCCTAAGAAACAAAGCAAGACCTTGTCTCTAGTAAAAATAAAAAAATAAAAATAATTGGCCAGGCATAGTGGCATGTGCCTATAGTCCCAACTACTGAGGTGGAAGGATCACCTGAGCCTAGGAGGTCAAGGCTGCAGTGAGTTGAGACTGTGCCACTACACTGAAGCCTAGGAGACAGAGCGAGACTTCATCTCAAAAAAAAAAAAAAAAAGGACAATAAAGAAATAAAGCTAATAAGCTAACATAAGGAAAGATAAAATATGTGACAAATAGGCTGGGCGCATGGCTCACAGCTGTAATCAAGCACTTTGGGAGGCCGAGGCGGGTAGATCACGAGGTCAGGAGTTCGAGACCAGCCTGATCAACATGGTGAAACCACGTTTCTACTAAAAATACAAAAATTAGCCGGGCATGGTGGCATGTGCCTGTAATCCCAGCTACTCAGAAGGCTGAGGCAGGAGAGTCGCTTGAACCTGGGAGGCACAGGTTGCAGTGAGCCGAGATCACACCACTGCACTCCAGCCTGGTCGACAGAGTGAGACTGCGTCTCAAAAAAGAAAAAAGAATGGGTGACAAAGTAATAATATGAGGTCTTTCATTTATCACACAGAAAATAACTTGTTAAATTTTAATACCTGTGTGGGCAAAGGTGCAGTGAAATGGCCATTTTCTTGTAGTATTAGTGGTGTTTAAAATGTATATAAGCCTTCTAGCATAAAGCTTGGAAATTTTTTTTAAATCATACAGACAGTGACTCATTATACTGCCTCCTCCAACTCCTGGCCTCAAGCAATCCTCCCACCTCAGCCTCCCAAAGTGCTGGAATTACAGGCTGACAGCCACCATGCCTGAAAGCTTTGCAATTTACATCAAGGGTAATAAGAATGCTCATGCCCTGTGACTCACAGTAATCTCACTTCTGGAAATTTCATCTTTGGATATAATTCAACCTAAACAAAAGGTTATATGCACAAACACAGTGAAAATCTGGGAGTAAATTTTTTCTCTTTTTTTAAAAAAATATGGAATGCTTCACAAATTTGCATGTCATTCTTTCACAGAGGCCGTGCCAATCTCTCTGTTGTTCCAACTTAAGTATGTGTGCTACTGAGGCAAGCATGAGTAATTTAAGATAGAGTGGTTAAGTGAAATAAGGAAGAATTATGGAGAATTTAAAAATCTATGCTATTTATAGGCACCTAGTAACAGCTCAGTAAATATTAGCTACTACTATTATTATTTTTATGGTAATTTCACTCAATTAAAAACTGTCATTAAAAATTACCATTGTCATGGAACATAATGTCTCCTACTGCATAATTGTAAAAACAGATACAATTTGTCCCTTGGTATATGGGGGGATTAGTTCCAGCTCTCCCATTTCTGTGTATACCAAAATGCACGCATACTCAAGTTTTTGAAGTCAGTCCTGTGGAATCCACATGTAACACAAATGGGAAAATTAGTGAGGTGTGGTGACAAGCACCTGTAGTCCCAGCTACTTGTGAGGCTGAGGCAGGAGGATTGCTTGAGCCCAGGAGGTTGAGACTGCAGTGAGCCATAATTGCACCACTGCACTCCAGTCTGGGCAATAGAGTGAGACAGAAGGTTGACTTTTTAATAGAATTTTTCTGTTCACTTGAAGATACGGTCAGGATTGTGGCATATGAAAATTCTTCATAAAATAACTATCTAATCCAATTAATGCTGGAATTGGGAACAGCAGAAGTGTCATCTCAGAGCTACTCACAATGAAAGGTGATGTCTGGGGCTCAGGTGTGTTGAGGTCCCCATGCCTGGCCTATGGGTACTGAGTGGGATTTACTTGTCCATCCATTTTCTATATTCCAGCACTGGGAAACTAGGGTTTATCCATCTTGATAAGATGTCATTTAAATTCCACTTCGCAAGAACCACAAATGGAAGAAAGGCCATGAAACCACAGGACAGTACTTGTTCTCAAGGGAATCTTCAGCTTAGGTGGGTCTGTAAGAGAGAAATTACATTGCTGAAAAATCGTCGCAGGTCAGGTGAGGTGGCTCATACCTATAATCCCAGCCCACTGGGAGACTAAGGCAGGAGGATTCCGTGAGGCCAGGAGTTCAAGACCAGCCTGAGCAACACAGTGAAACCTCATCTCTACAAAAAATTAGAAAATGGACTGGGTGCGGTAAAACATTCGTATAGTCCCAGCTACTCTGGAGGCTGAAATAGGAGGATCCCTTGAGCCCAGGAAGTGGAAGCTGCAGTGAGCTCTGATCTCACCACTGCACTCCAGCCTGGGTGACAGAGTGAGACCCTGTCTCAAGACACACACACACACACACACACACACTCTCTCTCTCTCTCTCTCTCTCTCTCTCTCTCAGTCTGTCCAGCCTTGACTAATCAAAAGGGCCTTGTGGTTACAGAAGAGGTATGCTCTTTTGTAGGACAGGGAAAGACCAGCAAGCTTGTTCACAGACTTTTCCTCATCCTCTGCTTAGTTTTCCAAGAACCCTCACAGTGGAAATGGAGTCTCTGGGAAAATGACCTAAATCTTTGGGTTACCAGGGGAGAAATATGCCTCCTTTGTCAATTAATAAATGGAACATCTGCCTTAAAATCCAGGGAGTTCTGCTAGAATGAATCACTCCCTAAGACCCTGACCTATGCATGGAACATGAAAAACTGAAGTTTAACTGGGCACGGTGGATCACGCCTGTAATCCCAGCACTTTGGGAGGCTGAGGCGGGCGGATCACCTGAGGTCAAAAGTTCTAGATCAGCCTGGCCAACATGGTGAAACCCCGTCTCTACTAAAAATACAAAAATTAGTTGGGCATGGTGGTGGACACCTGTAATCCCAGCTACTCGGGAGGCTGAGGCAGGAAAATCGCTTGAACCCGGAAGGCGGAGGTTGCAGTTACTTCTAGAAGAATTTCCATTAGCCCTTTGAAATCCTTCAACATTCATGAAGGCCAAAGAGTTTTCACCTAATTTAATCTGATGGGTATGTCACCAGAGTCTTTCTAGGGAATAGAGACTCCCAAACAGTTCAGCTGGGAAGTGAGGAGAGAATTTATTACTCAAAATCAAAGGGAAATGAAAAGAGGCCAACATAGAATGTCATTATTCTTTCTTGGCGGGGAATGGATTCCAGAGTCATTCTGTGACCTTTACATGACCTCCTTATTAGCATCTAAAAGCTTCCAGTGTAGGATGCAGCCAGCTAGGTTCTCTTCTAATGTAATAAAATTTGCTTCAGCAAATCTTATGCAGAGCCATCTCCAGGCTCCAGAAACAATAGGTTATAAATTACTGGATCTCCCATTTGATACAATGAAGTATAAGCACGGTCCTGAATGACTCCTCTACCTACTACTCTGGGTGGCTTGAAGTGAATTTGATACAAGAACTGGAGCGAGCGCAAAGCAGAGCTAGAACTAGGATTAATGTGCTTGGGCCCAGCTCCTCACTACTCACCTATGAGTCTAGTTCCAGAACCCAAGTAGAGGGTGGGGAAACAAGGCTCCTGACTTCTTTTCCCTAATATCTGCATCTCTTTCACATTTCTTATCTCCTTGCAAAGAAACTAAACAGGCTCAACTGAAATAACTAAATGATTAAACCCTATACAGAGAATCTCCAAAGACTGACAAAATATCATTCAAGACTGTTACACAGACAACCTTGAGGATGACTTGATGTACCAGTGATCTACAATATTTGGGATCATTCCAAATTCCCATCAAGGATCTGCCTATATCAACAAAGGAGCCAAGGACCAACCATTCAAATGGGCCCTGCTGCCAAGCCTTTTTTTTTTTTTTTTTTACAATGCCATCTCTTCATATTGTTCCATTTAACAAAACTGCAGCCCTTCACCTATCCTTAAGTCCCTTGGCCAATGGTACAGAGCCAGAGTATGCTACTCCCTAGCAGGAAATCAACAGGATGACCTACTAAACACCATTCAGAAGATGCTAAGACCCATGAATTGCAACAGGAAAGAAAAGACAGAGAATTAGTCAGACAGGTACATGCTGTGCCAAAGATGCACTACAGCCCCCACCCAATTCTGCCTAATCCTAGCTGGGCTGACACCAACCTGATGAGACAGGCCTATAAGATCTCAAACTAAAACAGAAACTCCTGAACTGGGTTCTTTCGAACCCAGGAAGCAGCAGTAAATCATTAAAGAACAGATAAGTTCTTAAGGTGAGGGAGAGTTTCAGATAAATGGAATGCTGGTAGAACACAGGGCCCAAAGGAGCAAAAGTTAACCTAAGCCCAGGTAGAACCTTGTTTACTAGAGTATTAGGCATGGGTTGGGGCAACTATTCTAACCAGAGAAACTGGCTTCAGTGAGGGCAAGTTGGCAATCCAAGGTATAGCATGCATAGGGCTGGCAAAATTCAGGGTGACTGAAGCAAAAGCTTCAGAACCAGAAAGACCACATCTGGGGGTAGAGCACAAAACTCTCAAGAGATGAATCTTTGTAAGAGTGAGGCAGAACTATATAGCAGTTTTAGGAGATCTGTTGGTGCCCAGCAAGAGCTCCAAACGGTTATATGCAGGGATGCAGGCTGTAGTCTCAGGAGAGGAGGTTCACAAAAGTCATTCAGTCCAAGACCTCAAACTGTGTTCTCTACTAAAAGGAATCAAGGTTCCCTAGAGAAATGGCTGACTCCATGTATGGTGCAGTATATTGATCCTGGAACATCTTTTTTGCCAGAAAGCAAGGAAGCCATCAAAGTCCAACAGGATCACGTCAAAAAGACATGAAAGTCAACTTGAAGAGATAATTATTAACCTAGATGAGACAATGTAAGCATCCAAAACAATAAAGACTGCAATGGCCTGAAATACATCAAATGCAAACAATAATCTATGAGTTCATAATGGTATTCAGAAAAAAAACTACTGGTCATTAGAGGGAAGGTTACTAGGTCACTAACTTACTACTCTGAAAAGTGACTTAAGATGAGAGGTAGGGCGGAGAATTAGCTATTTATTCAGTCTTTCCTGTACAAACATAAATTTTTAGGGAGATTGAAGCAGATGAAACAAATCTGGAAAAATGGAGGTAACTGCTTAATCTGCGGGTTGGGTGCCTGGAGGTTCAACATATTTCTTTTGTGTATATTTGAAACCCCTACAAAAAAAGCACAAGACAGAATGTGAGCCAAGCAGCTTAGGGTTTAGGCAAGGCTTCTGCCTACAAGAGACACTAGGATATGAGGGGTAGTTTTAGCCCTGATGGGCTGAGCCAACTGGAGGTATATAGGGAGGTGCTAAATTGCAGAGGTATCATGTTGCCCAGCACTTGATCAAATCCTAGATCCTAGGTCTGCTTGGTAGCATGCTTCCTAGGTAGTGGATCTGAGGCTACCTATAGAACTTCCTTTGCAGTCATAATTTGCTCAGAAACTACAAAAGTGCTTGCTCTTGAAAACGGAGTCTTTGTCCATTTCATGCTTCTATAAAAGAATAACACAGACTGCATAATTTATAAAAAGGAAAAAAGGAAGGAAAGAAAAAAGGAAGGAAGGAGGAAAGGAGGGAAAAAGGGAAGGAGGGAAGGAAAGGAAGGAAGGAAAAGAAGGAAAGGAAGGAAGGGAAAGAGAGAAAGAGGGAAGGAGGAAGGGAGGGAAGGAGGGAGGGAGGGAGAGAGAGAGGGAGGGAGGGGAAGGGAAGAAAAGGGAGGAGAAGGGAAAGAAGGAAGAAAAGGAAAGGAAAGGAATAAATTTTATTTCTTAACAGTTCTGGATGTTAGGAAGTCCAAGGTTGAGGGGCCTGCATCCGGTAAGGGTCTTCTTGCTGCATCATCCCACTACAGAAGGCAGAAGGAAAAGAGAGTGCAAGAAAGCAAGAGGGCAAAAGGGGCTGAACTCTGTTTTATAATAAGCCCACTCTGTGATTACTAATCTATTACCACAATAACAACATTAACTCATTCATGAAGGCTATTTTATTAGGCCCCACATCCCAACTGTTGCATTGAGGATTGAGTTTCCAGCACATAAACTTTGGGGGACACATTTAAACCACAGCAGAGCACTTAGGTTAATTCAACTAAGAGGAGCTGGGAAAATAAAAGGCATGAGAAAGACAGCAAAAGCTAGCAGAGAGAAATGCATAGGTTAAGGAAAAAAGTCACAGTGAATCCTGTAGTGCAGGCTACTTTATCAAAAGCACCTAAAAAAGATCTCATTAACTCCCCCAGCTCACCTCCACTCACATCTAAAGAGCCACACACAGCACCACCAAAGGCAGCACAATGAGGACAGCATTCTCCTCAACAGACAAGCTGGGAGTATCTAGACACCTGACCTCAATAGCTCCAGAACAGCCCTAAAACAGTTCCTCCCTAACCACCACTCAAGTCACCAGCTTGGAAAGTATTCAGAAAACCCAAATCCTGACACACCACTAGGAAACAACTTAAAACAGCAAAGAACAACCCATTTAAACAGCAATGCCAGCTGCTGGGAAAAAAAGGAACAATAAGTAGAGGAGAAACAGACCTCTTGGGGTCCACCAAGACCCAGTCTCTCAGCTTCAGCACTTTCAAATGCAGAATCCATACCCCTCTGGGGCCTGTGGAGCTCCACAAGGCATGTCGTCCTCAAAGATAAATGAGCAGGAAAGCTGGCTAGAAAGACACTAAGGGTATTATTCTTTAAAGAATCTTTATAGGTTCAAAGAGGAATGGGTCTTAACTGGCTATGTGAACTCCCCACAGATTCTGAGGATGATGTCAGCAGCCCTTTCCAGATGTGTTTAACACTTTGCAGTCACTTGTATTCCTGCCACTGAGTGCCAGTGCTTTGCTAATTTGAACTGATTCCAGCTCACGCTGACCCCAGCTCCCTGGATGTTACCATTAGCCAAGACTGTCACCCATACTGTACCCTTTCAAAGAGTCCTAAAAACAGCTCTTCACCTACTCTTCCAAGACAAGTAAAAATGTCTGCCAAAGAAATGGGGAAAAAAGATTCAGAGAGTGAAAACAATTAATATACTAACAAGAGAGCAAAAAGCAAAGGGGGAGGAGAAACTAGGAAAATCATAGATGGGCTCACACCTATTTCCAAAGCTGGGCTAATGTCCTTTTGCTTGTGTCTGAATAAGGCACCAATTTTAAGCTGCTAATGAAAAAAAAAGAAAAAGAGAAAGAAGCAGGGCCAGGCTGGGCGCAGTGGCTCATGCCTGTAATCCCAGCACTTTGGGAGGCCGAGGCGGGTGGATCACTTGAGGTCAGGAGTTCGAGACCAGCCCGGCCAACATGGTGAAATGCCATCTATACAAAAAATACAAAAACTAGCCGGGCATGGTGGCACATGCCTGTAATCTCAGCTACTCAGGAGGCTGAGACAGGAGAATTGTTTGAACCCAGGGGGGCGGAGGTTGCAGTGAACTGAGATTCCACCACTGCACTCCAGCCTGGGTGACAGAGCGACACTCCATCTCGAAAACAAAACAAAACAAAAAAACCCCACCTGAAGGTTTCCAGTTCTGCCAGCAGTCTCCCACCCAACCCCCAGAAGCAGACATTCCATTGCTGTGGGCCATGGACAGGCAGAAGGAAGCACCTCCTCATGGCAGAGGCCTACCCAGGAGAAACCCAAGGGAAGGCACTGCTGGGCTGGCCCCTCTCTGCCAAGGCCATATTCTTTTTTTTTTTTGAGGCCAGTTTCACTCTGTCTCCCAGACTGGAGTGCAGGTGCACAATCTCGGCTCACTTCGACCTCTGCCTCCCCAGTTCAAGTGATTCTCCTGCCTCAGTCTCCTGAGTAGCTGGGATTACAGAAGTGTAGCATGCCTAGCTAATTTTTGTATTTCTAGTAGAGATGGGGTTTTGCCATGTTGCCCAGGCTGGACTCGAACTCCTTGCCTCCAGTAGTCCACCTGTCTCAGCCCCGCAAAGTGCTGGGATTACAGGAGTGAGCCACTGCACCCAGCATTTGCCAAGACCTTTGATGGCAGGCTTTTTCCAGGTGATCAGTCCTTGTCTGGTCTGGCTCTGCCCCACTCTCCTTCTCACCTAGTTGGAATCCCTAGCTACTTTTCAGTAGAGGAGAGTGTGTACCCCAATCCCAGCTTGGTTCAGATCTGCATTTAACTCATGGAACCTGGCTGCTCCCCATGTCCTGAAGAAAAAAAGGGTCTCTCTGTGGGTATGATAAAGGATGGGCCTGTCCCCAGGACCGTGTGAGAAGGAAGCCCAATGTCCCACCAGGTTGGCAGGGCTGGGGAAGGGAAAGTGTTATGGCAGCCCCAAGAAAAAAAAGAGGCAGCAGAGGGAGGAGGACAGCGCTCACATGGAACTCATGCCACGGCCTGAGTGAGGGGAGGGAGGAGTGCACGCCAGTGACGTCAGGGGGCAGAGAGGCGCAGTTCCAGGGCGGCTTTCCCCCTCACTTCCTGCCATGTTACTCTGATCGCCTCCAGGTGAGCCTGCCCATTTTGTGCCCAGGGGCCTGTAGAAAACCACAGCTCCCCATGGTTATGGCCCCAGGAGTGGGGCAGAGCAGGGAGGAGTCCTGGACAGAGGAGAGGCAGGGGCAGGAGGGAGTGGGCCTCAAACTCGAGGAGGGGGCCCTTCTCATGGGTCCTGCTTTCTGGCTTCTCCTTCCTTACCCCTGGGCTGATCACTCGGGGAAGAACTGAGACAAAGTTTCTCACCCTCAGGCCCAAAGGGTTTAATTACTGGGCCCTTAGGGAGGTGTGAGCCCCCTGAAAGGATGCAAGGTTTTGTTTTGTTTTGTTTTTTGAGACAGAGTTTCGCTCCTGTCGCCCAGGCTGGAGTGCAGTGGCGTGATCTCACCACACTACAACCTGCGCCTCCCAGGTTCAAGTGATTCTCCTGCCTCAGCCTCCGGAGTAGCTGGGATTACAGGTGGCTGCCACCACGCCTGGCTAATTTTTTGTATTTTTAGTAGAGACAGGGTTTCGCCATGTTGGGCAGGCTGGTCTTGAACTCCTGACCTCAGGTGATCCCACTGGCTCTGCCTCCCAAAGTTCTGGGATTACATGAGCCACTGTGCTTGGCCACGATGAAAGGTTTTGTGTGGAGAGCATGTACATGCCTTTCTGGGAAAACAGTCCACAACAGGCTTCACGGTCAAAAAAGGTTAGAACTCTTGCTACAGAGCTGTGGAAGCAGCTAGGTGAGGGGCCTGCCAAGGGCACTCTGGGCACTACCTGGGCACTCTCGAGCCCATCATCCCCTAGACAGGCTGCACTGCTTGGTATTTGCAGAGCTGAGGGGGTGGGGCATGTGGGGACTGTGAAATCGCCCTGAGATGACCCACAGTCCTCAGCTGGGAAGTGAGCGGTGCATCTCCTGCGGCATCCTCCATCCCTAGAGCCATGGGGCCAGGAGAACTGGCCCTTGCAGCAAGTGAAAAGCCTATTATTGACTCCCTCCCTAGCCATGTAGACAGTGAACCAAGACATTCATATCAGGTAAATGCCTTGGTCTCTGTCACCGAGGTGACCAGTAGGCATTCCCAGATACAGTGAAGGTCCTCACACCAAGATATGCACCTGGCCACCTGAGGAAAGAGAAAGGACTATCTGAGGGGATGGGGCTGAGCTGGGTGTGGAGTGGTCCTTGTGGGTCTTGGAGAGTGGGAGGGGGAGCAGCATGAGCCAGGCCTCGAGGTAGAAGGACAACCAGGAGACAGCCTGGAAAAAGTGCTGGACCCACAAGGGCTCAAGGCTGGCCAGAGGGGAGGTGGGATAGGCTGCAAAGTCCTGAGGTCTGAAGATTGGCCCTGGCAGGAAGAAACCAGGTAAGGTGAAGTGTTACCTACACCCTCGGGGCCAGATGCAGGCCAGAGCCACGCAATTACCAGGCCCTTAGGGAGGTGTGAGCCCCTTGAAATGATGCAAGGTTTTTTGTTTTTGTTTTGGAGACAGAGTTTCGCTCTTGTCGCACAGGCTGGCACCTTTGCCCAGAGCAGGCACCAAGACTTCTGGCTCTGGGTGTGACCTCAGTCTGGGTAAAAGCCCCAGCCCCCACCAGGACCACCTACCCCCTAGACTACTTCAGGTGCTGAGCCCAAGCCAGGGGCAGGAAGCTAAACTGATGCCTAGGGTAATCCCAACAAAGTCCCTGGTTCCCCGCAGCTATGGGGCTGACGGGGAATTACAGCCCAAACCCCAGATGCTGGCTCTCAAGCTAACACTGAGCCCTTAGTGCCCACAGGGAGATACAATCAGCGCACTTTCCAGATGGGGAAATGGGATCAGAGAAGTGCAACAGCCTTGCCCAATGCCCCAGACCAGGGCTCCAGGCCCAGAGTGTTCTTTTGTCACAGTGTTCAGAGGGCAGCAGCTGCTGTGATGTACCCACCTGAGCCTGGCAGCTTTCTCCAACTTTGGAAGCCCAGGAGCATGGCCCCTGTCCACAGATGCACCTGGCATGAGGTGTGCCCAGAGGGACAGAGGCAGATGAGTTTCGTCTCCTCCACTGGATTGTGAGGGCCTAGAAGGAGACAAGGGTCTGCTTGAGAAGGCAGTGAATAGCGAGCAACCTGAGGCAGTGCCCCTCTGGATGGATCCGCAGTGCCTGGATGGAACCTGGCTCAGACAGAGCTCAGTTCTGCAGGTCCCTGAGGCATGGAGAGTTCACAGCTACCAAGTGTAGGAGTCTGGATTCAAAGCCAACGGCGTGACTCCAAAGTCCCTGCCCTAGCCCCTGGACCACCCTTGCAGGCCCATCAGATGCCCAGGCCAGCAGCACAGCCGGCCAAGACCAGGGAAACTTGGGGAGCCTCAGAGCACCCCCAGGTATTCCAACCTAATCCTGGTACCCCGCCTCTCACCACCCTTCTTCCTGCTTTAACCTCAATCCCTACACAAAGCCTGGGCCACTTAATGTGGCATCAAACAGATGCCTCAATAAATCAGAGTCTAATCTTGAAAAAAAAAAAAAAGACTTAACAGATATACAATTGCACGTTAGAATGCTAAAGACCATAAACATATAACAACTTAAAGTACATATAAATTCAATATATATCCAATCATTGTAACTATGACACAGTAGAATATTAAAATACTATTTTCAAAATGTATACAAGCTTAATGTTCTATGTATTCAAACTATTTATTCAAAATACAAATCATCAACATAAATTGCCACTAATATTCAGTCCCTTCACAGGACACATGATTCACTGGGAGTTAATAAATTAGCAGCCGGCAGGCAGTGACACACAGCAAAAATGAAAACCAAGAGGTGAAATAGTTCTGAAATAAAGGTTTTAAAGCTAACAGAAATCACTGAATTACTAAGTCATTAGCACTAATTTTGAGCCAACTAACTAATTAATATGAGATGATACAATGTCCTATACTTTGGTAAATACAGACTATGTTTAAACAATGTCTGTAACGTGACTTGTAAAATGCTCCTGGCTTTACAAAGATGTGATTAAGATGTAGTAATACATGCTAAACCACTTCCCCCTGCAGAGCATGTGGTAACTTTCATCAGTCACATTGAGAGTCCAGAAGATAAAGGAAAAGGTCATGGATTTTGCTGAGACCTTACCAGAGTTGAACTCCCTCATTTTCCATTCCCCAGCATTGGCGGGTTCTGGGACTGGTGGCTGTGGTGGCTCGTTGGTCTTTGTCTCTTAGAAGGTGGGGAATAATCATCATCCTGAAAAAGAAAAAATGGTCATTACTGAAGGAACCATCTTAGGTTACAGCCACCTCTGGGTCAATTCCCAACATTCACAAGCTGAGCAGGGCTTTAAAGCTATCTTATTAATAATTATTTCTGTATTGCGAACTTCAGCATACTTTTTTCTAGTTACATTTGAAATGTTATTCTTTTGGGATGTGCTCAAGTGAATACTGCTTTTTCCTCTGCCTTGCTTCATTACTTTTTAGTTTCCTTCATTTGAATCATCATTGTAAGTCTCCCCTTCTCCTCAAATAACTTTCAAATTGCTGCCAAGAACTATGTTCTATCTTAAGGCTTTTGAGAAAAAACTTTCAATGAAGATAGCCGCCTAAAGTTATACAAATATATAAGAAACGGGATAAAATAAAGCTTAGATTGGAAAAAATATTTAAGATTATACAAAATTCACGCGTAAACAAGGGAAGCTGAGTAATTGTACGTTCAAATACTTTTAACAAGTGCAAAACATGTAGGCTTAAAGAAACAGAGCTGGCCAGGCATGGTGGTTCATGCCTGTAATTCCAACAGTTTGGGAGGCCGAGGCAGGCAGATAACTTGAGGTCAGGAATTCGAGACCAGCCTGGCCAACAGAGTGAAACCCTCTCTCTACTAAAAATACAAAAATTAGGCCAGGAGTGATGGCTCATGCCTGTGATCCCAGCACTTTGAGAGGCCGAGGCGGGTAGATCACCTGAGGTCAGGAGTTTGAGACCAGCCTAACCAACATAGAGAAACCCCGTCTCTACTAAAACTACAACATTAGCCGGGTGTGGTGGCACATGCCAATAATCCCAGCTACTCGGGAGGCTGAGGCAGGAGAATCCCTTGAACCCGAAAGGCAAAGATTGTGGTGAGCCGAGATTGTGCCATTGCACTCCAGCCTGGGCAACAACAGCGAAACTCCGTCTCAAAAAAAAAAAGAAAAGAAAAAATTAGCCAGGCGTGGTGGCGCATGCCTGTAATCCCAGCTACTTGGGAGGCTGAGGCAGGAGAATCGCTTGAACCCAGGAGGCTGAAGTTGCGGTGAGCCGAGACTGCACCATTGCACTCCAGCCTGGGTAGCAGAGCAAGACCCTGTCTCAAAAAAAAAAAAGAGAGAGAGAGAGAAGGAAAGAAAGAGGGCTATGTTATTTATGAAACATGGTGAAACGCTGTCTCTACCAAAAATACAAAAAATTAGCTGGGCATGGTGGCGCGCACCTGTAATCCCAGCTACTCGGGAGCCTGAGGCAGGAGAATCACTTGAACCCGGGAGGTGGAGGTTGCAGTGAGCCAAGATCATGCCACTGCACTCCAGCATGGGGGACGGAGCAAGGCTCTGTCAAAAAAAACAGAAAAAGAAAAAGAAAAAAGAATTAGAGACATCTGGATCAAATCAGCTGCCAGTCTCGCAAAGTGTCTGGTAACATCCTATTAAGATTGCTGCTTACACATCATCTATAAAATACTGAAAATATCATTTTAAGAAATCTTTTTTTTATTTTGAGACAGAGTTTTGCTCGTTGCCCAGGCTGGAGTGCAATGGTGCGATCTCAGCTCACTGCAACCTCCGCCCCGTGGGTTCAAGCAATTCTCCTTCCTCAGCCTCCTGAGTAGCTGGGATTACAGGCATGCACCACCACGCCTGGCTAATTTTGTATTTTCAGTTGAGGCAGGGTTTCTCCATATTGGTCAGGCTGGTCTCGAACTCCTGACCTCAGGTGATCCACTGACCTTGGCCTCCCAAAGTGCTGGGATTACAGGTGTGAGCCACCATGCCTAGCCAAGAAACCCTTATTTTAAAACAAGCCAGGCACCGTGGCTCATGCCTATAATCCCAGCACTTTGGGAAGCCAAGGCGGGTGGATCACTTGACGTCAGTAGTTTGAGACCAGCCTGGGCAACATGTTGTAACCCCATCTCTACTAAAAATATATTTAAAAAATTAGCTGGGCGTGGTGGTGGGCACCTGTAATCCCAGCTTCTCAGGAGGCTGAGGCAGGAGAATCACTTGAACCTGGGAGGTGGAGGTTGCAGTGAGCGGAGATCATGCCACTGCACTCTAGCCTGGGTGACAATAGAAAGACTCCATCTCAAAAACAAAACAAAACAAAACAAAAAAACCACTAAAAAAAGACTCCATTTCAAAAACAAAACTAAAACCAAAAACACAACACAAATGTAGTATACAAATGAAAATAATTACTGTGTTAAACACAGTTTCATAGAAAATAAAAGACCAATCAAATACAATAAGCTGCCTTTTTAGATGGGTATGTTATTCTTCTTTCACAGCTAAAGAAACGGGCTCAGAGAATGTTATTTGATTGGACCGTGTTGCATCTCTGGACAGTGCAGCTGAGATCAGACTTTGTGTGTAACTCCACTAGCCTACCAGGGTGCCTCTCATAAAGGTAAGAAATGTAAATTTGGCCTAATATACAAAGTTGCCAAGGCAGCACTGGGTCAATTCTACATACAGTACTTCTATGTTCATCAAGGGAAACCTTAAGGGAAAGTGAAAATGCTTCTAGAAGGCGACTGGACACCAGCGCCTTTGCTTGTTGCCTTTGGGCTCTTCTTCTAAGGCCAACAGTGACCTGAGATTATTGACTGGCTTTTCCAATCAAGTGGACAAAATGGTACCAAGGTCGCCAACATCAGACAAATTCACTTGAGGGCCTTATCTATGTGCTTTGAAAGACAAAACTGCTTTTGTAAAGGACACTGTATTTCAGAAAAACATAATCATATTAACAAATAATAACACTGTAAAATGCTGATGTGTTGAATGCTACTTTAGAAAAACATGCTCAAATCCAGGGAAAAAATTTGATACAAAACTACGTATCAATTATCTAGCTAGCTAGCTAGCTAGCTATCTAGAGACATGCTTTCACTCTATTGCTCAGGATGGGAAGCAGTGGGATTATCATAGCTCACTGCAGCCTTGAGCTCCTGGCCTCAAGTGATCCTCCTGCCTCAGCCTCCTAACTAGCTAGGGCCACAGGTGGACACAGTTATGCCTGGGTTTTTGTTTGTTTGTTTTGTAGACACAGGGTGTCACTACATTGCCCAGGCTGGTGTCAAACTTTGGAGTCTCGCTGTGTCGCCCAGGCTGGGGTGCAGTGGTGCGATCTCGGCCCAATGCAACCTCTGCCTCCCGGGTTCAAGTAATTCTCCTTTATCAGCCTCCCAAGTAGCTGGGACTACAGGCATGCGCCACCACGGCCGGCTAATTTTTGTATTTTTTGTAGAGACTGGGTTTCACCATGGCCAGGCTGGTCTCCAACTCCTGACCTCAGGTGATCCACCTGCCTCGGCCTCGCAAAGTGTTGGGATTACAGGTGTCAGCCACTGAGCCTGGCGGAGCACTTTCTTATGTTATTAAGTAGCCTAACCCAGGTGGGGCGCTGTCCCTCACGCCTGTAATTCCGACAACTCTGATGGCCAAGGTGAGAAGATCACTTCAACTCAGGAGTTCGAAACTGGCCTGGGCAACATAGCGAGGCCCCCCCCCCCACCCCATCTCTAGAAAAAAATACAAAAATTAGGCCAGGTGCACACCGCTCCCAGCTAATTTTTGTATCTTTTGTAGAG
Organism: Homo sapiens; assembly: GCF_000001405.40. NCBI lineage: Eukaryota > Metazoa > Chordata > Mammalia > Primates > Hominidae > Homo > Homo sapiens. The sequence goes on along the minus strand of NC_000004.12, from coordinate 118,592,305 downwards.
ACGGGGTTTCGTCATGTTGCCCAGGCTGGTCTCGAACTCCTGAGCCCAAGCCATCCATCCTCCCGCCTCGGCCTCCCAAAGTGCTGGGATTACAGTAGGGCCTAGCCAGCCTCATGTTTTATTTAGCAGTCCCTCCCTGTTGCACACTTAAGATAGTTTTTAAATTTTTTTAGACAGGGTTTACCTCAATCTCGCAGGCTGGAATGCTGTGGTGGGATCATAGCTCACTGGAGCCTTGAACCTTTGGGTTCAAGTAGCTGGGGGGCTGAGGTAGGACTACAGAGATGGGGTTGCGCCATGTTGCTAGGCTGCTCTTGGCCTGAAGGGTCCTCCCGCCTCGAACGCGCCAGACATAGTTTTCTATTTTTGACCAACATAAACACTGTGCTGGGTCTGAATTTTTCACCTACCCTTCTTCAGCCGGCAACACACAGGACCTGGCGGGGAGGTCGCTCTTACCAGTCCCCACTCTGACGAGAAGACTGCCCAGCTCCAGGAACCGTAGCGCCCCAGTGACGTAGCCGAACACCCGCGCCTCTGACGCCGCCAAAGGCCCACCTCTATGGTGTCGGCGAAGGCGCGCCCTTGTGACGTCACGGAGGGCGCACCCTTGTGACGTCACGGAAGCCTCACGTCACGGAAGGCACCACTGCACTCCAGCCTGGCAACAGAGGGAGACTTTGTCTCAAAAAAAAAAAAAAAAAAAAAAAAAAAAGAGAGAGACAAATCTTACCAGCAGCCTGTGAACCAGGAAGTGAAAGTCCAGCCCAAGCTCAGGAAAGTGGAGTCAGCATTGCTCCACCTAGCAAGGCCCCTTCCTCTTCTCCAGAGACTCCAGAATATGGACATTTGCTTCACCTCCTCAAAACCTTTCTTCTTACTTGGTTGGGAGTCATTTGACCATAGCAACTGTATCAGTCAAGGTCAACCAGAAGCAGAAGCATTAGGAGATTTTATAGAAGATAGAAATAGAGATATAGATACAGGTGTTAGAGATATAGAAATGATAGACGAGAGAAACAGAGATGAGAGATAGAAAAAGAAATATAGAGATGAGATGAAGATAGAGATAGAGATGGTAGGGACAGAGATAATAGAGATAGAAATAGATATATACAGGGTTTTGTTAGAGGTATGTAATTTGTCAGCATCGAAATGGAGTCACTTATGTTAAGATAACCTTGACAAATAGAGCCAGGGAAAGACATGAAGAGGATTCTCATGCTTACATGCCTGCTAACAGAAACGACCACCAAAAGCAATAAAAACTACAACTTAGCACAAAGGCTGTCACAACCTTACATAAAAAATACTCCTGCAAGGACATCTGCCCAGCGACTGCCTATACACTCTCGGACTGGCATCACCCTTGCTATTGTTCTCTGTAGCCCAGGATAATTATTTCAAAAACAATTATGTAATCCTCCTTATTTTTTCCTTTAAAAATCTTTGTCTTCCTTTAACCGCCCTGAATACCAACATAGTTTACTGCTGCATGCATATTTCCACTGCAGTGCTTTATTCCCAAATAAGTATCTTTTAGAGAGCTTCTCTCTGTTATTTAGGTTGACAGAGGTATTTAACCTTAAGCAATTGTGGGAGCTGGTTAAGTCATCTCTGAAAAGCTGTTTTTGTGTCTGAGGGAAGTTGACGTCTATAGGGTGGGCAGTTGAGAAGTGTGTTAGGCTGTTCTTGCATTGCTGTAAAGAAATACCTGAGACTGGGTAATTTATAAAGAAAAGACGTTTAAATGGTTCACGCTTCTGTAGGCTGTACAGGAAACATAGCTGCAGTATCGGCTTCTGGGGAGGCCTCGGGAAGCTTACAGTCATGGCAGACGAAGCAGGAGCTTGCATGTTGCATGGTGAAAGTAGGAGCAAGAGGATGGGGGGAGGTGCCACACACTTTTAACTAGATTTTGCAAGAACTCACTACTGTGAGAACAGCACCAAGGGGATGGTGCTAAACCATTCATGAGAATTCTACCCCCATGATTCAGTCACCTCCCACCGGGCCCTACCTCTAACACTGGGGATTACAATGCAACATCAGATTTGGGTGGGACAAGTATACAAACTATTAATATATCAGAAAGGAAAGATGGATATTAAAAGAGAGCAGGCCAGGCACAGTGGCTCACGCCTAATCCCAGCACTTTGGGAGGCTGAGGCAGGTGTATCATGAGGTCAGGTGTTCAAGACCAGCCTGGCCAAGATGGTGAAACCCGTCTCTACTAAAAATGTAAAAATTAGCCGGGCATGGTGGCAGATGCCTGTAATCCCAGCTACTCAGGAGGCTGAGGCAGGAGAATCACTTGAACCTGGGAGGCGGAGGTTGCAGTGAGCAGAGATAGCACCACTGCACTCCCGCCTGGGTGACGGAGCAAGACTCTGTCTCCAAAAAAAAAAAAAAGAGGAAGAGCAACGTGAAACCACAATAAGGAGCTGAGCTGGAGCCCACAAAAATGGACCGAAGTCTTTTTCAGTTCTTGCTGCATCTGAGCTTGATGGTGACCTTGAACGTCCTGCAGTAACCAACACCATCCAAGAGCTCAACACATACCCAGGAGTGGGAGAAGCTGAGGCAGGCTTGGGAGGGTGGAGCAGTTGCAGGCCTGACCCCTGCCTCATGCGAACAAGGTGAGCCAGGAGATGAGTGACAAGGTGTGTGAGCTACACAATGGCTGCAACTTTCCTTGCTCCCCGCAAATCTCCTGGAAGAATCTGTTTTGTGGCCCATCCCAACCAAAAACCAATAGGAAAGGTAATTTTGGGAAATGTAATTCAACCAAGCTAAACTGACACATTAAAAAACCACCAGAGCAACTAAAATAGCATTTGTGGGATAGCAGAGAATTTCAATTACCCATGTTCTTTCTTGTCCCAATTAGCATTGACAATCAAAAATGTGTCTGTGGGCGGTCTATCCAAGTTTATCACATAAGGAATTGTTTTATAATCACCTTTCCCTGTATTTGGAAATCCTGCCAGAACACTGTGATGAATTCACCACGTACACATAGCTCAAGCTGCTTTTTAATGGAGAGGGGATAAAAAGACTTACAAGAGAATACAAACCCACTAAATAATGCTAAAGAAAGATTCCATCTGTAGAGAACTTCCCCTCAATACCCATGGTCACAAGGAAAGAGGTGAGGGTATCTGCTCTAAGAAAGAACAAGGTTGACCAACTGCAGAATGAGCCAGAATAGAATGGGATAGTTAATGAACTTGAATTTTAGTTGCCTTAAAAGGATGATGATCCAAGCATGAGCTCTTGAGGTTAATGCAGTCTGATGCAGGAAAAACCTCAGTGGTAACACATGTTTTTTCCTAGGGATGGCCCAGAGGTCATTTTCCACTGTGAGACAGGAAAGACCTGGAAACAGCTTAATTAGGAAACAAAGTGTTTTAGTGGTGCTGAAAACTGGTGAAAGCAGCAGTCAGAATCCTTCATAGACACAGTGGCAAAGGGACTCCATTTGTGAGATCCAGACCAACTTCAATTGATCTCCAGTGGATGCAACCGTAGAGCCATCCCTGGTGGTCTGAGGGGAGAAAAGCAGCATCTGTCAATGGAACACCTGATGAAGACAGGCCCGCAGCAGAGAACAGCTGGCAGCAGAAGGGGCTGGGGGACTTCTCTTTAGGAGCTGGGTTTCTGGAAGCCAGGTAGGAAACACACACACACACACACACACACACACACACACAGCACTGTAACAATAAGGGCTGCAAGTTCTAAGTGTTCAGAAGATGTTTTAAAAGCCATAAAGATGGAACAAGGGCCAGATGCAGTGGCTCACACCTGCAGTCCCAGCAATTGAGAGGCTGAGGTAGGCGGATGGCTTGAGCCCAGGAGTTTGAGACCAGCCTGAGCACATAAGATGATCCTCTCTCTACAACAAAAAAATATAAAAATTAGCCAGGCATGGTGGTGCATGCCTGCAGTCCCTACAGGCTGAGGTGGTGCACATCGTTAGCACCTGAGCCTCCTGAGTAGCTGAGGGACTACAGGCAGTCCCGTATTGGCCCCAGTTGTTCATCCCTCCTTAAATCTATAATTTCTACTGTGTAAATTTGCAGTTCCTTCCACTCAAGATGTAAACTGCCCCAACTCATAACTTCAGGCTTGGCCATGTAACTTCCTCCTACCTCAGCCTCCTGAGTAGCTGAGGGACTCCCTGCTGAGGTAGGAGGATCGCTTCAGCCCAGGAGGTTGAAGCTGCAATGAGCTGTGGTCACACCACTGCACTACAACCTGGGTGACAGAGAGAGACCCTATCTCAAAAAACAAAAGATGGACCAAGACATGTATTAGGTCATTCAAGGGCCATCGAGTTCACAAGAGATGCAAGGAACATTGAGGATTTTGTGCTACTGGATTAAAGGAGAGTTCTACCTTTTATACCTTAAATTCTGAATATATATGCATTTTCAATTTCTTATTTCCAGGGGATTCAGGGACTCAGATTTCTCCCACCTCACACACACACACACATCCTGATCCAATAATAACAGACATACCCTTTCTATCCTTGCAACAGTCCTCTGAAGTAATCAAGGAAGTGGGATTTTTGGAACACTCAAGCTGATAAAAGCAGCCTGGGGATGGAGGCGTGCTGAGGATCACGGCGTGATGGAATAGGCCCAGGCTATCACACGGCATCAATCAAGAATCACAGGCAGCCCCCACGTCTTAAGTACCATTATGGACTGGAGACCTGCACTTAAGCTATGCGATGAGCTTTCTGCCTGTTCACATAATTGCCCTTGCCCAGAAAGGACTAATGATTTCTCAGGATGAAGAAACTGTAGTAAGATGTGAGATGCCCATTTATGGCTAATTGAAGATTAATGAGGTTTTAGTGCCATTTACCAAGTGTTAAATCACAAACAGGTAATTTCTAGGCATAACTACATGAGGGCTGGGATTTCACTTCAATTCTCCAGGGGAGATGTGTGATTGCGGGCAGCCACAACTTTTCACTGCTCACACAAATCCCACAGAGTTGCAAAATGTGAGGACTGAGTATTCTTTTGTTTACTTACTGTGTGTAAAACTACAATTGGCCTTCGATATTCTTCTATTTGGCTTATGAAAGAATGTCAAATGTTACGAATTATCAAAAGCAGTCTTCATCAGCACATAGAGCTGGTAATTAGTATTATATTAAGCCTCCTAATGAATCTATGATGCTGGTAATTCACTGTCACCTTGAAACTGTCCTGCATCCCCATTTTCCGAATTCTGCCCTCCAGCAAATACAAAAAGTTGCTTTTGATCATAAATTTACTAGCAGTGGTAGATTGAACTATTGTCCCCAATTTTTCATCCCTCCTTAAATCCATAATTTCTACCACGTAAATTTGCAGTTCCTTCCACTCAAGATGTAAACTGCCCCTACTCATAACATCAGGCTTAGCCGTGTAACTGCCTCTGCCTAAGTGAATGGGGGCAAAAGTGATGGTTTGCTGGTTCTGTGCATAAACTTTCAGAGGCTACAATGTATTTTACTTTTCCCTCTTGGGTTTCTGCCATTTCCAGGAGAAGAACATGCCCTAGCTGGCCTGCTAGTTCAAGGGCAATGCAAGACACGTGGAGCAGAGATGGACCCAACCTGTGGCTGACAGCTAACCTCAGCTGAACCAAGTGTAGATCAACCCACGCCAGCTGGCTCACAGCTCCTGAGCAAAAGCAAGACAGCTGTTTTAAGCCACTGAATTTTGGGCTGGGTTGTAAAGCAGAGCTAACTGATTATTGATTGAGCCTCTGCGATATTCTAGCCATGGGTTAGAGGCGGGGCATACAGAGATATGCAAAACATAAGTCCTTGCCTCCAGGAAGGGCCGGTCTCACCAGGACATTGTGTCACTTCACAAAAAGGTACTTCTGACTGGGAGGAGGGTGCAGAGGGCCAGGCTTCCAGACTCGTTTCCAGCATCACTTTATTTCACAAGTTCAGTGTCGGTAACGTAAACGATGACTGCCGTGGTGCCGATAGAGAAATCTAATGAAGAGGTTATGGGAATTCTTTTTAAATTTGAGCTTTTGTCCAAACTCCAGCAGCTGCTTTTTCAAATTTTTTTTTTTCATTTTCCAAAACAAAGTCACTGAAAGATCCCTATAAACCTGTGGTTCTCAAAAGGCTGCAGAAGAATCCCAATGGGAAGTGAGTGGCTTTATTTTCTTGGAAATTCAGAATCCTCAGGGATTCTGATTCAGTCTGTCTGGGTTGCGACACTAGAATCTGCATTTTTTTCATGCTTCACTATTCTCCCTTTACCCAGCAAAATTGTGACGCTGTAAATCTAGAGGCCACTATTTGAGAAATCCTGCTCCAAATGGCAAGCTTCCTGGGGATAGTTACCATGGAAATTGACACGAATTTACGGAGACCTCATCCTGGATTTATTGGCAGAGCTCTTTGGCTTGTTCCTTGACTTCTGCAACCTTGTTTCCTGATCCCTGCGTCTTGACTTGATCTGCCTGGACTCTAGATATTTCTCTGAACTTAGTAGGTGCCTATTATGGTTTGGCTATTTGCCCTCCCAAACCTCGTGTTGAAATTTGATCCCAGTGCTGGAGGCGGGGCCTAACAGGTGTTTGGGTCACGAAGGCGGATCCATCATGAATAGATTAATGCCCAGGGTGCGGCATTAGTTTCCAGGAGAACTGGTTATTAAAAAAGAGCCCAGGCCAGGCGCGGTGGCTCATGCCTGTAATCCCAGCACTTTGGGAGGCCAAGGCAGGTGAATCACGAGGTCAGGAGATCAAGACTATCTTGGCTAACACGGTGAAACCCTGTCTCTAATAAAAATACAAAAATCAGCCAGGCGTGATGGCGTACGCCTGTAGTCCCAGCTACTTGGGAGGCTGAGGCAGGAGAATTGCTTGAACCTGGGAAGTGGAGGTTGCAGTGAGCCAAGATCGCGCCATTGCACTCCAGCTGGGCAATAGAGTGAGACTGTTTCAAGATTAAAAGAAAAAAAAAAAAGAGCCTGGCACCTTCCTGCTCTCTCTTGCTTCCTGTCTTGCCATGTGATCTCTGCACACACGTGCTCCCCTTTGCCTTCCACTATGAGTGGAATCAGCCTGAGGTTTTCCCCAGAAGCCCAGTCTTCCAGCCACCAGAATTGTGAGCCAGATAAACCTCTTTTTAAATAAATTACCCAGCCTCAAGTATTCCTTTATCGCCACACAAATGGACTAAGACAATGCCCAATCAGTGTTTTTTAAATGAATTAATGAGCTTGCCACCACCTGGATCCAGACGCCTCCCTGTCTGTCCTTGAGCACTGACTGCTACAGATCTGAGCACCGGCCTGATGCTGTGAGCTGGCTGCCCTGATCTGTCCCGAAGTTCTGAACCGTCCTCATTCCTTCCTCCTCCACCACACATCCACCCTGCTTGTCTTTCTCTGTTTCCCCAATACTCAGGGCTGACTTTCTTAGCTTCATGTTCATTGGGATCTACAGCCAGTGGGACATCAGCTGCCAGACCAGCATCTCTGCTATTATTGAGACTGGTCTGAACTCTCAAAGCTTCAACACATCTTAACAGATCTTAAGGAGGAAGCGAGGTGGAAGGTTTCTATCTGTAAATAAGAACTGGCCACCTGTGAATACACTGAGGCAAAACAGAATGAAATGCCATCCCAGAAATGTCACAGTCGGGTTGCAGCAGCCATATTTACAAAGCAGATTGAATCATTTAGAATTATTGAAGTCTAGTCCAGAATATGGTGCTGCTGGCTATTTAATAGGGATCGATAAATAATTTCAGCACATAGTGAAATTGAAACTGTGCGTTGCCATCTGGAACTTGGTGTTCACATGCTGATTAGAAACCAACTCACTGATGTAATTCTATTTCTCACAATATCCCTGAGCACAAAGGAATTTTTTCAGAAAAGACACACAGGAGAATGAGGTCAAGTCTTGTCTGCATGTTTAGGAGCTGCTCTCAGATAGAGAACAGGAATTTGTTTTGTTTTGTTTTTCTAAATGGAAATCTCTGTTTAGTGACCCCCTCCAACCTTGGGATTCTGCCTTTTTTAGGTGCTGCTTAACATTAATTATCACTTAAACTCATTGTAATTTGGAGACAAATAAAAGGAGGTTATGGAGTGACATCTTTTAGCCAGTAAACACATGGCCAAAGGGCTGCATGTAAATTCATTTGTGGTAGGTCAAGTGACAGGTTTGTTTTGTTTTTGTTTTTGAGACAGAATCTCGCTCTGTCACCCAGGCTGGAGTGCAGTGGCACAATCTTGGCTCACTGCAACCTCCACCTCCTGGGTTTAAGTGACTCTCTTGCCTGAGCCTCCCGAGTAACTGGCATTACAGCCACCCGCCACCATGCCCGCCTAATTTTTGTATTTTTAGTAGAAACAGGGTTTTACCATGTTGGCCAGGCTGACCTCAAACCCCTGACCTCAGATGATCCACCTGTCTCAGCCTCCCAAAGTGCTGGGATTATAGGCATGAGCCACCTTGCCCAGCCTCCTGACAGTTTTAATTCAATCAGGAAGGTTTTCATTTAGAGGAATCCTACGACAGATTCTTTTGTAAAATCAAAAATTGCCTTAAAATATATAGATGACAATAAAACTTTCATATGTATGCACAGAACACATTCCTGTACCTCTCTAAAGGAACATGTAAGTTTTTATTTGTTCTAGAATTTCTATGTAACTTTATTATACCTCTAGCTAGTCTATTCACTCTTTTAGAATGGACCTTCCTGATCGTTGAATTCTGTCAGCACCTATCTCATGCTGTGAACAAAGCAGGCACTTGTTTTTATTAAATGAATATCTGGAGGGTGCAATTTATTTTGTTTAATGTGGCAGCCAGGTGACATATGCCTCTCTTTGGTATCAAAAGATGACACTTAAATCAACTTTGAAAAGAGTTTAAACTTGTGTTCAAGAATGACAGATCCATTGATGGTATTATCTAAAATGACATTGCCCAGAATTTTTTCTAGGACAGCTAGCATTGTCATATATATATATATGTTTTTTTGTTTTTTTATTGTCAAGGAGGTTTTGAAATGCTTTTATTTTTGAAGAAGTAATAAGTTCACATATATATATATACATATATATGTGTGTGTGTATATATATATATATATATATATATATATATATATATATATATATGGTTTTTTTGAGACAGAATCTCACTCTGTTGCCCAGGCTGGAGTGAAATGAAGCGATCTGGGCTCACTGCAACTTCCACCTCCCAGGTTCAAGTTATTCTCCTGCCTCAGCCCAGTAGCTGGGATTACAAGTACACACCACCACGCCTGGCTAATTTTTGTATTTTTAGTAGAGACAGGGTTTCACCATGTTGGACGGGCTGGACTTGAACTCCTGATCTCAGGTGATCCACTGGCCTCAAAGTGTTGAGATTATAGGTGTGAGCCACTGCACCCAGCCTCTCTCTTATACATTAATCTCCCTCAATGCCATTGTCAGAAAAGGAATTCAGTAGTACATAGACCAAGGGTAGGAGGGCAGGAGATGGGGAGAAGTGGTACCCTGACAGAGCTAATGGTCCTTGCAGGTGGGAACTGATCCACAAGGTTAGTAACCATCCCCCCAAGCCAGACTGGAAGTCAGGGCAAAGCCCCGATTTCGTGAAAATCCCAGCACCCAGGTGACAATTACAGAAACAAAAGATAATCATTCCAAATGGAGCTGTTTTTCCTATGCGAACTTATTACTTCTTCAAAAATAAAAGCATTTCAAAACCTCTTTGACAATACAAAAACAAAAGAATTAGAATGAGTAGGTCTTTAATTGTAAATGTGAAATGACCTTGTTGACATAATTCATGCCTTCAGTGTACATTTTGAACACCTATCATGGGCTTGCCCATAAATCATTTCCAATCTCTCTTTCTCTCTCTCTGCCAAGTGAGGCCACTGTAAGAAAGCAGGCCATCTGCAAGCCAGGAAGACAGCCCTCACCAGAATCCAACCATAATGGCACCCTGATCTTGAATTTCTAGCCTCCAGAACTGTGAGAAATAAATGTCTATTGTTTAAATCACCCAGTCTATGGCAGCCTGAGTTGACCAATATAGCCTTTTGCATCTTAACAAGTTTTCCACACCTACATTTTGAGATTTAAATAGTATAGCCATTGTGTAATAAGTCTTGTATTTCCTCAAATCTAACATGCACTTTTTACCTTCAGATCTGATGGTTTCATGTGATTTATAACCCAAGTATAAAATGTGTGGGTTTTCCAAAAAACCTATTTAATCAATGACCTGTGAGAGGAGTCAGACACAAACTGCAGATAAAATTTCAGCATAAGTGGTTCTGCTTGGATAGTGTGTGGATATGATTTATCCTAGAGACTACATTATACGACCTTTAAGGCACTTTTCAATCCTCATAGTAGATGGTTAACTGAACATACATTCTGATGACTGAAGATTCCTTTTTTTTTTTCCTTTACCTATACAGAGTCTTGCTCTGTCACCCAGGCTGGAGTGCAGTGGCGTGATCTCGGCTCACTGCAGCCTCTGCCTCCTGAGTTCAAGCGATTCTCCTGCCTCAGCCTCCCGAGTAGCTGGGATTACAGGCACTAATTGGGATTACAGCTGGCTAATTTTTGTATTTTTAGTAGAGACAGGGTTTCATCATGTTGGCCAGGATGGTCTCGATCTCCTGACGTCGTGATCCACCTGCTTCAGCCTCTCAAAGTGCTGAGATTACAGGCATGAGGCACTGTGCCTGGCCATGCATGCCAATTTTATACAACCCAAAATAAGGCTGAACAAGGAAGATCAGGAGGCCAACCATTGCATAGCCCAAACTTTTTCTTTAAATGAGTAAACTAGCGTGAGTGTGTCACTTGATATAAACACCAGCAAGTAGAGGAAGAATCTGTGCTGCGGTCCCACCTGAGGCCAAAGGGACCACATGGCCATGATCAAAGTGAGGGAGAAGAGATCTGTTAAGATTTAATTCGCAAAAATGAATGATCACCACAACTTCCAAGGTCATAAAAAGCAAGGAAAGACTAAGGAACTGTCATAGGCCAGAGGGAACTGAAGAGACATGATGCCTACATGTAACGTGGCATCCTGGATTGGATCCTGGAACAAAAGAGGTTACAGGCCAGATGCGGTGGCTCATGCCTGTAATCCCAGAAATTTGGGAGGCCGAGGCATGAGGATCACGAGGTCAGGAGATCGAGACCATCCTGGCTAACATGGTGAAACCCCGTCTCTACTAAAAATACAAAAAAAAATTAGGTGTGGTGGCAGGCACCTGTAGTCCCACCTACTCAGGAGGCTGAGGCATGAGAATGGCATGAACCCGGGAGGCGGAGCTTGCAGTGACCCGAGATGGCGCCACTGCCCTCCAGCTTGGGCGACAGAGTGAGACTCTGTCTCAAAAAAAACAAACAAAAAAAGAGGTTACAAATAGAAAAGCTGGTAAAATCTAAATAAAGTCTATAGTTCAGTTAATAACAATGGACCAATGTCGGTTTCTTAATTTTGACAGCTGTATCACCACGGTAATACAGGGTGTTAACAACAGAGAAAACTGGATGAGGGAGTATATGGGAATTCTCTATACCATCTTCACACCATTTCTATACATTGTAAGCTATTCTGAAATAATAAAAAGTTGACTTTGAAAAAATTGATCAGTAACAGGAGAGAGAAAAGAATACATGCCCTCATCCAGCTGTTGGGAAAGACAGAAACTTGCTTCATTCATTCATCTATCTGTGCATTTATTTAATAACTTCCATGTGCTAGGTACTGTTATGGCACTGTAAAAACAGCACTGAATAGGCCAGGCGTGGTGACTCACGCCTGTTATCCCGGCACTATGGGAGGCCGAGGAGGGCAGATTACCTGAGGTCAGGAGTTCGAGACCAGCCTGGCCGACATAGGGAAACCCCGTCTCTGCTAAATATACAAAAAATTAGCCAGGCAAGGTGGTGGGCACCTGTAATCCCAGCTACTCAGAAGGCTGACGCAGGAGAATTGCTTGAACCCAGGAGGTGGAGGTTGCAGTGAGCCGAGAGTGCGCCACTGCACTCCAGCCTGGGAGACAGCACTGAATAAAACACAATTTTTACTCTCTTGGAGTTCTAATTATTATTATATTCACCTTGCTGTTCTATTAAAGATTGCTAATGATCACCTAGGCACTGATACCTATAACTCCTGTCTTAAAATACTTCATCCTGCCCCGTTCTCTTCTTTAATTTCTGCCTTGGAAATATTTCTAATGCATAATATATAGAGCATAATACATGCTAGTCAATGTGCTAAGGTTTTATTGCATTAAATTATTATTATTATTATTATTATTTTTAGAAAATTTGCTCTGTCACCCAGATTGGAATGCAATGGTGCAATCATAGCTCACTGCAGCCTCGAACTCCTGGGCTCAAGTGATCATCTCACCTCAGCCTCCCAACTAACTGGGACTACATGTGTGCACCACCAAGCCCGGCTAATTTTTTCTTAATTTTATTTTGAGACAGGATCTCACTATGTTGCCCAGGCTAGTCTTGAACTCTTGGCTTCCTGAATCAAACATAATGAAATATTATTCAGCCTTAAAAAGAATGAGAATTTGATACCTCATAGGTGAACACTGAAGACACTATGCTAAGTGAAATAGGCCAGTCACAAAAGGACAAAGATTGGATGATTCCACTGTTGTGATGGACCAAGAGTAGTCACATTTACAGGGAGAGAAAGTAGAATAAAGGTTACTGGGGGACTAGGGAATTATTTTTTATTTTTCAGCATATCCATACTTTTTTTTTTTTTTTTTTGAGACAGAGTCTTGTTCTGTTGCCCAGGCTGGGGTGCAGTGGTGCAATCTTAGCTCACTGCAACCTCTGCCTCCTAGGTTCAAGCAATTCTCCTACCTCAGCCTCCCAAGTAGCTGGGACTACAGGTGTGCGCTACCATGCCTAATTTTTGTATTTTTAGTAGAGATGGGGTTTCACCATATTGGCCAGGCTGGTCTTGACCTCCTGGCCTCAAATGATCTGCCAGCCTTGGCCTCCAAAAGTGCTGGGATTACAGGCATGAACCACCGCACCCGGCCCATAATCCACACTTTGGAATACTGCTCAGCAATAAAAAAAAAAAAAAAAAAGGAACAAAATTTACTCAAAAGCATAGATGAGCTCAAAAACATTATTGCTAAGTGAAAGAAGTCACAATCAAAAGACTCAGACTATATAATTCCATTTGTATGAACTTCGAGAAAGGCAAAAGTATAGAGACAGAAGATCAGTGGTTGCCCTTGGCTGGGGCTTGCGAAAGATTGATTGCAAAGAATTATAATGAAACTTTATAAGGAGAAGGAGCTATTCTGTATTTTGATTGCAGTAGAAGTTACATGACTGCACACAAATATCAAAAGTTATCTAACTGGGCCGGGCAGTGGCCCATGCCTGTAATTGCAGTACTTTGGGAGGCCAAGGTGGGTGGGTAGCTTGAGGACAGGAGTTCAAGACCAACCTGGCCAATATGGCAAAACCCTGTCTCTACTAAAAATACAAAAAAAAAATTAGCTGGGTGTGGTGGCGCAGCATGTAATCCTGGCTACTTGGGAGGCTGAGGCGCAAGAACTGCTTGAACCCGGGAGGCAGAGGTTGCAGTGAGCTGTGATCGCATCACTACACTCCAGCCTGGGCCACAGAGCAAGACTCTGTGTAAAAAAAATTATTTTAGGGCATTGAACTGTATACCTGAAATTAGCAAATTTTATTGTATGTAAATTGTATCTCAATAAAGCTACTTTAAAATTATAAAACTTGGCTGGGCACGGTGGCTCACACCTGTAATCCCAGCACTTTGGGAGGAGAGGCAGGTCGATCACCTGAGGTCAGGAGTTTGAGACCAGCCTGGCCCACATGGTGAAACCCCTTCTCTACTAAAAAATACAAAAATTAGCTGGGCATGGTGGCGCTCGCCTGTAATCCCAGCTACTTGGGAGGCTGAGGCAGGAGAATGGCTTGAACCTGGGAGGCGGAGGTTGCAGTGAGCCGAGATTGCGCCACTGCACTCCAGCCTGGGCAACAGAGAGAGACTCTGCCTCAAAAAAAAAAAAAATTATAAAACTTAAAAAATAATGTTAATGATAACAGAAGTTTGAGAATCAGAGATAAATTGTGTAATGATTTTTAAAAAAGGGGCCCAATTTTTTTACGGTTCAGTTTCTAGAGCAAGAGTTATTCACCTGTAAGTCATTTGATGAATAGAGAGATAATTTTTTAGCACTCTTTCCAATTACTAGCATGTGTTTTCTTTGTCCCAAATCATGTTTAACACATCATTTATACTAAAAACACTCATTAAAACAATTATGGCATACTTCTAATAATGTTAAAAATGAGTAATAATACTTATCCTAAAAGGGTAAATTTATAATACTACAGTTTCAAGTTTCAGAAAGCAGAGAGGGAAGGATATTTCAAGACTGGAATATTCCTGCCATTCCTTAAATCACGTTCCTCAGCATCTATTCATTTAACAAATATTTATTAAAGACCTGCTACACTCCAAACTCTTTCTATATGCTTCTGATCCATCAATGAGCAGAAAACACAGATATGCATCAATTAGGTTAGTTCGCAAAATCTCAGCGGCTTCTAGCACAATAGTTCATTTCTGACCCATGAGACCTGACAATTACTGGTTAACTACAGCTCTGCGACAGATTGTCATCTTTCTAGGACCCAGCCTGATGGAGTAGCCATTATCTGCAACTCTGAATAAACACATTGTAGTTCAGTCACATTTTGGAATACTATTCAGCAATGAAAAGGAACAAGGTGTCATAAACTCAAAAATGGGTGAACTCAAAAATACTACTGCTAAGTGAAAGAAGTCAGATGCAAAAGGCATTATGGCAGGATAAAGAACATGGTAAGCCACATGCTGGCTCCTGTAACTTCTGCCTACAAGTAACAATGCTTTTGCTTCTATGTCAGCAATCAGACCCAGTCATGTAGCCATGTCCAAGGCCAATGGGGTGGGGAAAGGATAATCCTCCTGAGAGGGTCAGAATATGTATTTGAATAATAGCACAGTTTACCGGTTACCTGTATATAGTAACATAGAAGGAAATAAGGGTTGTAGAAAAAAAGAATCGGGCGTGCAGGATTGGAATGCAACGATACGGAGCAGGATGTGGTGTTAAACAGTTCTCAGTTCTTCAAACCCTGAGAAGACTTGAAGGAGGTGAGGGAGTTGGCTAAGCAAAATATGAGGAAAGAGCATTTGAAGAAGATGGAACATCTAGAGCAAAGACCTTGGAGTAGGCGTGCCTGAGATGCCGGAGGAGTGGTAAGGAAGCCGGGGTGGCTGGAGTAGATTAGAAGCACGTAGTAGCTACTCCTCCTACTGGAGGTCATCACAGCAATGGGGTGGGACAAACAAAGAGGACTTTGTCATCGTTGTAAGAACTTTAGTTTTTACACTGAGTGAAATGAGCTAGTACAGGGTTCTGAGCAGAGACTTATTATCTAAGTCACCTGTTAAAAGATCACTCTGGGACGGGCGCAGTGGCTCACGCCTGTAAGTAATCCCAGCACTTCAGGAGGCCGAGGCAGGCAGATCACAAGGTCAAGAGATAGAGACCATCCTGGCCAACATGGTGAAAACCCGTCTGTACTAAAACTACAGAAATTAGCTGAGTGCGGTGGCGTGCACCTGTAGTCCCAGCTACTCAGGAGACTGAGGCAGGAGAATCGCTTGAACCTGGGGGGTGGAGGTTGCAGTGAGCCAAGTTTGTGCCACTGCACTCCAGCCTGGCAACAGGTGAGACTCCATCTCAAAAACAAAACAAAACAAAACAAAACAAAACAAAACAAAACAAAACAAAAACACCTTGGGCTGTGTGCGGTGGCTCACACCTGTAATCCCAACACTTTGGGAGGCCAAGGTGGGCAGATGCCTTGAGTCCAGGAGTTTGAGACCAGCCTAGCAACATGGCAAAACCCTGCCTCTACAAAAAATACAAAATAAATAGCTGGGCATGCTGGTGCCTGCCTGTGGTTCCAGCTACTCCAGAGGCTGAGGTGGGAGGATCGTTTGAGACCGGGGAGGTGGAAGTTGCAGTGAGTAGAGATGGTGCCACTGCACTCCAGCCTGGGTGACAGAGGGAGACCCTGTCTAAAAAAAAAAGATAACTCTGGCTATTATATTGGGGACAAAGGGAAGAAGCAGGGAGACCAATTAGGAGGCCATTGCAAGAATCCATGCAAATGTCAACGGTGATTCAGACCAGGGTGACAGCTGTGAGGGTGGTGAGAAGTGGCCAAATTCTGGATATTTTTACAGGTCAAGTTCATGGCATTTCATGACAAATCGAATGTGGGTGTGAGAGAAAAATAGAGACAACGATGACTGTAAGGATTTTGTTTGTTCATTTATTTGCTTACTTGGGTAACTGAAAAAACAAAGTTGGCTTAAGGACCTGAAGACGTTTTTCAAAGAAGACACCAAAATGTCCCACAAGTACATGAAAAGATGTGGAACATCGTGAACCATCAAGGAAATGCAAATCAATACCACAATGAGACAGCACCTTATACATGTCAGGATGGCTACTATAGAAGACAAGCCATGACAAGGGTTGGTAAGGATGTGGAGAAAAGTGAACACTTCTAAGCTGTTAGTGGAAACATAAACTAGTACCCCATTATGGAAAACAATATGGAGCTTCCTCCAAAAATTACAAATAGAACTACCATGAGATCCACCAATCCCACTTCTGATATATATCCACAGGAAACAACATCAGTATCTCAAAGAAATATCTGCACTCCCGTGTCCACGGCAGCACTATTCACAATAGCCAAGGTGTAGAATCAATCTGTCTGTCAACAGATGAATACAGAAAATGGAGTATATATACACAACAGAATAATATTCAGCCTTGAAAGAAGAAAATCCTATCATTTGACACAACATAGATGAGCCCGGAGCACAGTATGTTCAGTGAAATAAAGAGTCAGAGAAAGAAATACTGGGTGACCTCACTCATTTGGAATCTAAAAAAGTCAAACTTAGAAGCAGAGATTAGAGGTGTGGTTGTCAGGGCCTGGGGAGTGAGAGAAATGGAGAGAGGTTGGTCAAATGGTACAAACTTTCAGATAGAAGATAAGTTCTGGAAATCTACTGTACAGCATGGTGTCTATGGTTACTGATTATTATATACTTGAGATTTGCTAAGAGAGAGCAGATCTTAAATGTTCTCACCACACACAGACACACAAAGAAGGTAATTGTACACCAAAAAGTGTCTGAGACAGGCCTTGATCAATTTAGAGGTTCATGTTGCCAAGGTTGAGGATGCACTGGGAAAAAGAAACACAAGTTACCAATCTGTGGCCCATGTGTTTTCCAAAGAGGGTTTTGAAGACTTCAATATTTAAAGGGGAAAGAGCAGCAGGAGGGGAAAAAGGAAAGAAAAGAGTGGGTAGGTAGCCAGATAAGTGGTTATATTCTTGTGAAACTTTCATTAGTGCTTACTGAATTCACATGTTACATGTGAGAGGAGGGTATAGAGGAACAGTCAATTATGCATTCTTGTCATGCTCAGTAAATCTGCATTTTACATAAGATAAAAATAGAGTAGAGAAAGAAGTCAAATATGCATTTGTTTTGGGGTGGGCAGAGGGATGATTTCTAGTCTTGTCTTTGTTCCACACCCGTGAAGATAAGCTGTTAGTTATCTTACATTGTCAGGGTGATCTGGTTTGACTGTGTCCCCATCCTAATCTCATCTTGAATTCCCACATGTTGTGGGAGGGACCTGGTGGAAGGTGATTGAATCATGGGGGCAAGACTTTCCCATGCTATTCTCTTGACAGGGAATAAGTCTCACGAGATCTGATGGTTTTAAAAAGAGGATTTCCCCTGCACAAATTTTCTGTTTGCCTGCTGCCATCCATGTAAGATGTGACTTGTTCCTCCTTGCCTTCACCATGATTGTGAGGCTTCCCCAGCCACGTGGAACTGTAAGTCCAATTAAACCACTTTCTTTTGTAAATTGCCAAGTCTCGGGTGTGTCTTTATCAGCAGCATGAAAATGAACTAATACACAGGGTGAGGGAAGCCACCTGGAGAGGTATGTGGCCTTCTATCCTGCAGCTATGAGTCTAGGAACAAAAGGAAAGCAGGTTTTGTTTTTTGTTGTCATTGTTGTTTTTTGCATGACTCAGCTCCCAAACTTAACTTTTCCCTTTGCCATAGGGGGTTTGAGGTCCCAGAGATTTTATTTTCCTTTCACATAACCACAGAAGGCAAGGGACATCTTAACTCACTTGATTATGGTAATCATTTCACAATATATAAACTTATCAAATCATCACATTGTACCCCTAAAATTTATATAATTGTATTTGTCAGTTATAGCTCAATAAAGCTGGGGGAGAATAGATTTATCAAAAACACATAAAAAAAAAAAGAATGGCATTGCTGTAACTGAGGTGGGGAAGGCTGCAGGTAGAGTGGGCTTGGTGTAAGATGGGAGATCGGGGTTGAATTTAAAACATGGTAAGCCTGAAACATCTATGGGATACACAGGCAGATTCCCATCGCACCCTGGATGAAGTCGGTCTCAACTCGGGTTCTCCCGAGTCACAGAATGTCCCCTGGAGCCAGAGTCAACAGATCCAGGTGGTAATGCCGGCCTTACCACCAAGAAGCTCTGACTGTGGGGAGGTCACTAGCACACTCCATCTCTCCTCATCTGTGTGGTGGGTCAGTAAAACATGCCAACAGAGTTCTTCTGAGCATTCTGTGACATAAGTATATGGCAGCGCTTTGCCTGTTAAAACATAGGATAGAAAATGGCCTGGCTGCTGCTGCTGCGGTTCACGGTAATGGTCTCATCCTCTTGGTCAGCCGGCTGCTTTGGGATGAAACACAACAAAAAGTGGATCAGATTTTCCTAGAGTCTCATGATCCCAGGTATCCAGAAACACAATTTGGAAACACTGAAGTTATTTTTCTTCCTTTGATGTGCTAGTTTTTCATTCTAGCCTACTCCGCTCTGGGCAAATCCCTGTAGAATTCCTTGAGCAACTCCTTTTGCTGACTCAGATAAAATTGGACAGTATGTAATGTCCTGTGACCCTTGCCTGGAAGCGATCCCAGCTGGCTGCCAGGGTTGAGTCCGAGACCCTTAGGACCAGGCTGACCCTGAGGCCTGGAGACTGCCGAGCTCCCTGTTCAATGTCTGGAGAGCAGCGGGCGCAGCTGGTAGCCGGACCCTGCGTGGTTTGGAGCAGCGGGACACTCACTTTGAGACAGACAAACCTGGAAGTGAGCAACCACTTTCCACTTCACTATGTGGCGCATGATGGGTGTTCAGCAACGAATATCAGCCTCCTGTCTTCTCCTGGCCCCGCCCCTGGCTTAGGTGAGTGGTCTGTTTCTGCCAACCGTCTCTGATTTTGGAGTCACGGGAATAGAGCACGGAGCAGCACGTGATTCCCTTCCAGATGTCAGTCCCAACACACCCCAAACGCCTTTTCATTTCTCTCACAAAACATTATGACTGTCATGCGTGGATTGCCTGGGTTCTTTTTTCAAGCAATTCAGCAGGATTACATAGAGCCTCTTGGTGAGGGGATGCCCATACGTTTCCTATTGAAGCATAAAATAATTCTGCCCACTGTTTTATTTAAAAACCCCCTAACTCAAGGCTCCAGGGATTTCCTTTCCTCCTGGTAGCCTGGGGTTTGGTGAACTCATCAGGCTCCCCGCACTTTGGGGTGTGTTCTTCCTCGGTTTCCCCAGATGTGCAGCCAACAGTTGTAACTAGACAGGTGCAGACATGGCCTGTATATTGATATTGACATTTCTAGCAGGTTATCGCAGGTGTTTGTAAGACAGGCTTAGTTATAAGCTTCTCGTTATGATCTTAGAGTCTAAGATAAAAAATATTTTCATGTATTTTTTTGCTTTCTCCAAATCCAGTGAGGGTGAATCATGGCTACTTAGAGAATCCAAAGTTGAAAATCGAGATAAACAATGCAGTTTAGGCCAGGCATGGTGGCTCACGCCTGTAATCCCAGCACTTTGGGAGGCCGAGGAGGGTGGATCACCTGAGGTCAGGAGTTTGAGACTAGCATGGGCAACATGGCGAGACCCAGTTTCTACCAAAACTATGAACGATTAGCTGGGTGTGGTGGTGCACGCCTGTAATCTCAGCTACTTGGGAGGCTGAGGTGAGAGAATCACCTAAGTGAGCCCAGGGAAGTCAAGACTGCAGTGAGCCATGTTCACACCACGGCACTCCTGTCTGGGTGATGGGAGTGAGACCCTGTCTCAAAAAAAAAAAAAAATGCAGTTTAGGCAACATTTTTTCCTAATGAAGCCCTTGCATCATCATTATCCTTATAACACACACTTTTTTTTTTTTTTGAGACGGAGTGTTACTCTGTCACCTAGGCTGGAGTGCAGTGGCGCAATCTCAGCTCACTGCAAGCTCCGCTTCCTGGGTTCACGCCATTCTCCTGCCTCAGCCTCCCGAGTAGCTGGGACTACAGGCGCCAGCCACCACACCCAGCTAATTTTTTGTATTTTTAGTAGAGATGGGGTTTCACCATTCACAAGATGGTCTCAATCTCCTGACTTCGTGATCCGCCCACATCGGCCTCCCAAAGTGCTGGGATTACAGGCGTGAGCCACTGCGCCTGGCCAACACACACTTATAACGTAAAATGTAAAAGGGGAAAAATGCCTTCTTTTTGCTTATTTTATTAAGGATGTAATAACCCTAATGGCCATTCATGAAGAGCATTTTCTCCAAATGCATTGCATTGGGACACTCCCGAGGGACTCTGGAATGGATTTACTGCTTTCTCTGAAAACCAGGACATGGCCTATTTCATACAATATTGTTTGATTCAAACACATAATAACAAAAAATAATAATTTTCAGTGCTAAAAGTCAGCAACCCTGATGTACGGTTTTGCCCCCTGAGTGACGGGAACAACACATGGATTTGTCTTCTCTTGTGTGACTGAAGAAGGGCAGAGCAGTAGGTTTTCATTTCACACAACCCAGGAGATTGCCATTTTCTCAGGATCACCTGATGGCACAAAACTTAGGCCCTGGCTCATACCCTTCGTCCATCTCTTACTCTAGCTATTGCTAGAGCAAGCAGCTTCGAGCAGATGAAACCTCCCAGCACCTCCCCTCTGCTGCCGCATATCTCTTGCATTTTGACACCACAGCATGGAACACCTGCAGCAATCGGCCCAGCACTCACACAAGCATCATCCCAATGCACAAGAGAATTCATGCCCCAAGAACACCCCTTGAAGAATCGGAGCTGGAAATTGATGAATAAAGGTTCCCTCCCTCTTTCAGGCGCACATGCCGTGCATTCTGAAGTCACTCCGTGGCTCATTAGGAGCCCCTGCGCAGTCATGCCCCAGCTGCCTCCAGGAGTGAACAAGCTGAGATTGCACTCCCATTTGCCTTCCTTCCTTCCCTGTGTCACTCTTCCCAATCCCTCTATCTTCTTTTCTGGGAACACTTTCCCAAATTAGAAAATTCTGGAGGCCAATTAAGGCAATAAGCCAGGGAATATGTTATGTAACCGTGTGATGAACTCACAAGAGATACTTGGGGACTTGGAGAAGTCCATTCCCTGTATCTAGGCGAGACCACAGCTAAGTCATTGACCAAAGGAACTTTGTATTAAAACAAACAAACAAACAAACAAAAAAACTTAGAAAAATGGAATTCCAAAATCACCATTAGTAATTCTATTAGGTATTCAGATATTCATTGACTATAAATGTTCCTGAATGCAAAGCAGGAAATACAGAGGTCTGAATGTGGGATGTAAGAACTCGTGTATGTAATTGCATGAGCCAAAGAATAAGCTTAATGGATCTGGGTTCTGTGATTTTGCTCTTTTCAGAAGTGCTAGCTCAGTTTCAGAAAAGAAGTTCAGTGTCATTTTTTTCTTTTTACATGTATCTCCATCAAGTTTATGACAAGTTGATCCAATGATTTACTCTCCTTGATCAGAAATACCAGAAATTCACTCTCAATTTCAGTCCTTTTACTGATTGGCATTCTTTAAACATAATGAAGGGGAAAAGGAAATATATTTCAAAACAGTTTTTAAAAATGTGAAACAATTCAGGCATACAAAAAACACAGAAAATGATAAATTGTGTGGTATACCACCAAGATAAAACAGCTGTTAATATTTTATCTTATTTGCTTCAAACCCATCTTTTCAGTAAACATGCTATTTACTTAATAAACAAAATATTACAGTCCAGCTACTGCCTCACCCAGTGTGCATCACCCTCTCTTTCCCTCCATCCCTGGACATAACTCTATTCAAAAATTAGTGTGTATCGGCGGGGCACAGTGGCTCACATCTGTAATCCCAGCACTTTAGGAGGTCAAGGCAGGTGGATCACTTGAGGTCAGGAGATCGAGACCAGCATGGCCAACATGGTGAAACTCCATCTCTACTAAAAATAAAAAATTAGCTGGGCATGGTGGTGGGTGCGTCTAATCCCAGCTACTCAAGATGCTAAGGCAGGAGAATCGTTTGAACATGGGAGGCAGAGGTTGCAGTGAGCCGAGATTGTGCCACTGCACTCCAGCCTGGGCAACAGGGCGAGACTCCATCTCAAAAAAAAAAAAAAAAAAAAAAAATAGTGTATATCATCCCCACATCTGCTTTCATACTTCTTCTACATAAATATACATCCATAAACAACATATATTAGTCCTCTGCCTTCTAGTTTTTGTTGCTGTTAAGAAGCCTAGTTGAAGTTCTTGGTAAATAACCTTTCAATCACCTGACTTAATATTGTAAACAGAGAAGCAGATTTTTATTAATGTCTCATCAAAAGTAAGTTTTTCACCAGGAATATGCTTGTGAATGCAACATAAACATTTATAAATCTACCATTCATCAGTTTTCTTTCCTGATGGGAATAGTGAAAGAAAATAGAATTCATCAGAACTCCTGTGCCTCTTTGGCACAAACTTATAGCAATACGATAAATAGCAAGTACACCTATGTGTGAAGTCTTACCATAAAAAACAAACTTGATCAACTGTGCCAGAGGAAAGACTGAGTATCTTTCTCTTCTCTCCATGGAAAATGATATTACAAAATTTTCATCACATGTTGGGGCCAGCAAAGAGAATATAGCCAGATGATACAGGAAATGACATTTCTCAAAAGAAGACATACAAATGGCCAATAGGTATATGAAAAAAAAAAAAGTTCAACATCACTAATCAAAGAAATGCAAAGTAAAACCACAATAATATATCACCACATACCTGTTAGAATGGCTATTATCAAAAAGACGAAAGACAGCAAGTGTTGGAGAGGATGTGGAGATGATTTATATTTATAAGTTTGTATAGTTATTTATATTTCAACACTATTGCTGGAAATATAAATGACTACAGTCCTTATGCAAAACAGTATGGGGATACTTCGAAAAATTCAAAATAGAACTGCCATGCTACAATAATCCCACTACTGGGTATCTATCCAAAGGAAATGAAATCAGTACGTTGAAGAGATATCTGCACTCCCATGTTCATTGCAGCACTATTCACAATAGCCAAGATATGGAAGCATCCTAAGTGTCCAGCAGCAGATGAGTGGATAAAGACAATGTGGGATGTATGGCATATATACACAGTGGAATGCTATTCATCCTTAAAAAAAGGAAATTCCGTCATTTGTGACAACATGGATGAACCTGGAGGATATTATGCTAAGTCAGATAAGCCAAGCACAAAAAGACAAATACCGCATGATCTCATTTATGTGTTGTAACCAAACCCAGGTTCAGGTACTCACCAAAAGTCAAACATGAGATACAAGAGTTGGTGGGACAGGCTGGGTGTGGTGACTCATGCCTGTAATCCCAGCACTTTGGGAGGCTGAGGCGAGTGGATCACTTGAGGTCAGGAGTTCGAGACCAGCCTGACCAACATGATGAAACCCCGTCTCTACTAAAAATACAAAATTAGTCAGGCATGGTTGCACGTGCCTGTAATCCCAGATGCTTGGGAGGCTGAGGCAGAAGAATTGCTTGAACCTGGGAGGTGGAGGTTGCAGCAAGCCAAGAGATCAGATCTTGCCATTGCACTCCAGACTGGGCAACAACAAGAGCTAAACTCTATCTCGAAAAAAAAAAAGCGTTGGTGGGACAAAAGCCAGGTTTGTTCAGAGAGCCAGTAAACCAAGAGGATAATAGCATCCTAAAGTGCCACCTTAAGTCAGGATAAATTTCAGTCTCTTTTTCTGTTAAGAGCAGAAGGAAGAGGAGGGGCATGAGATCAATAGGTGACTGTTGACCACAGACATCTGGGTGCCAGTAAGGGTCCTAGAAGGTGGGGAAAGTCTTAGCTTTTGGTCAGGTCACAATGCTCCTATAAATCTTTTTATTTTTTATTGTTAATAGGATCTTGGTCTGTCACTCAGGCTGGAATGCAGGGGCATGATCATGGCTCACTGCAGCCTCAAGTTCCTGGGCTCAAGCAATCCTCCTGCCTCAGTCCCAGTGGCCGGAACTATAGGTACACGCCACCAGGTGTGGCTAATTTTTCCATTTTTTTGTAAATATGGGGTCTCACTATGTTGCCCAGACTGGTCTTGAACTCCTGGACTCAAGTGATCCTTCCACCCAAAGTGCTGGGAGTATAGGTGTGAGCCACTGTGCCCCACTCCTATAAATCTTTAACAAAATGTAGTTTACATACTTCTCCTTTAATCTCAGATGGCTGTTTTTGTGTTTTATCTTGTGCTCTAAAATTATCCTAGCCTATATGCTGGAATGGGTGAAGGCCCCTTAAACAATAATGGAGTTAGTTATGTTCTTTTGCTGTTTCACTGTTATACAATGTGAAATCTAAAAATGTCGATTGCATGGAAACAGAGTAGAGTGGTGGTTACCAGGGGCTGGGTGGCTGGGGAGATGTTGGTTAACGGATGCAAAATTTCAGTGAAATAGAAGAAATAAGTTCAAGAGGTCTATTGTAAAACATGGTGACTCTGGTTAATAACAATATATTGAGCTGGGCGTGGTGGCTCACACCTGTAATCCCAGCACTTTGGGAGGCTGATGCGGGCAGATCACCTGAGGTCAGGAGTTCGAGACCAACCTGTCCAACATGGCAAAACTGGGTCTCTACTGGAAAAAAAAAAAAATACGAAAATTATCCAGGCATGATGGCGCGTGTCTGTAATCCCAGTTACTTGGGAGGCCGAGGCAAGAGAATCGCTTGAACTTGGGAAGTGGAGGTTGTATTGAGCAGAGATCGGGCCATTACACTCCAGACTGGGTGACAGAGTAAGACTGCGTCTCAAAAAAAAAAAAAAAAAAAAAAAGCCAACATGATTGTATTCTTAAAAATTGCTAAGAGTAGATTTTAAATGCTTGAACTACAAAAACATGAAAAGTATGTGAGGTAAGGCATATGTTAATTAGCTCAATTTAATAACCATTCTACAATATACACATATTTCAAAACAACATGTTGCCAACAATATACAGAATTTTAATTTGTCAATTGAAAATAAAATTTTTTAAACCCAGGAAAAATTGTAGAGGTTTATTTTTCCTGGATTTGGTGATGTTGTGGCTTTTCTCCCCCCAGCTTCTTGAAATTTTTGGTTTGTTGTGACTTCTAGTCTCTTTCTAAATATTCACTTTACTGCCAAATTTTGTATTCATACTTTTGTATTCTTTGTCTTTTAAATGGCTTCCTAAATGGTATACATCATCAGGCCCTCAAAATGTGCTCCACCTGCTTTGAACCACAAAACCCCTGGGGATCCTAATCCAAACAGCTTCCACCCTCCCCAGCACTCTCTCGCTTGCTGTGCAGGCTTTCTGCGAATGCTCCAGGCACGCAAAGGAAGGAAGCCAAATGCTCCAAGCTGCTCGGTGTCTGACTCCTGGAGCCGCAGCTCCCATGACTTTGTAAAGGGCATGCACCCTGCAGGGCATGTGCCCCAAGCACCAGGGGTTCCTCCTACTCTCTTGGCTTTCGAAAATGAGGCAGCAGGAAGTGATGGAGAGCGCTGTGGTCATCAAATGTGGATGAAGTTAAAATTCGTTAACCAAATGCAAACACTTCGGGGAGTGAAAGTGGGGCACTATTCATTTTTTTTTTTTAAGTCAGGCTCTCACTCTTGCCTCAGCTAGAATGTAATGATGTGATCAGGGCTCATTGCAGACTGGACCTCCCAGCTCAGGTGATTCTCCCACTTCAGCCTCCTAAGTAGCTGGGACTACAAGTGTGTAACAACATACCCAGCTAATTTTTTTGTATTTTTTGTAGACACGGGTTTTCACCATGTTGCCCAGGCTAGTCTCAAAGTCCTAGACTCAAGTGATCTGGATGCCTAGACACCCCCCCCAACAATGTTGGTGTTAGTGGTGTGAGCCACCTTGCCTGGCCTTCATTTGCAAGATTGTCCCAAAGGAAGTGACCTTGGCTGAAACCCTGGCTCTGCTTCCTCTGGCCGTGGGGCGAGAAGTAAATAACCAAATCTGCCTGGGCTTGTTTCCTCACCCCAAAAAATGGCAGTAAGAGCTGCCTCACAGGCCAGGTACAGTGGTGCACATCTGTCATCCAAGCAATTTGGGAGGCCAAGGCATGAGGATTGCTTGAGCTCCAGAGTTTGAGACCAGCCTGGGCTCATAGTGAGATCCCATAGTGAGATCCCACCTCTACAAAAATCAAATTAGATGGGCATGGTGTTTCATGCCTGTAGTCCCAGCTACTTGGAAGCTGAGGTGAGAGGATTATTTGAGCCCAGGAAGGTGGAGGCTACAGTGAGCTATGATCACCCCACTGCACTCCAGCCTGGGTGGCAGAGCCAGATCCTGTCTCTGAAGAAAAAGAAAAAAAGAAAAAAGAAAAAGAACAAAAAACATCAGTATTTTGTTAAAGGTTAAGGTTAGATTACCTAGATATAGGCTCTCTTTCTCTCCACATATATCTGTATATCTATCTACACACACACATATATATTTAGAGCTATGTATATATACACAGAGAGAGGTATAGCTATAGATAGATCTATATAAATATATATAAACAGCTAACTCTCTTTACATATGGATATATATATTTATGTATCAATCCACAATACATAAACTTGGATATGCACAAAATATCACATTTTCTCTAAACCAGCTTAATTTTTATTTCAAACTCCCCTTCACAGCAGACTGGGAAGATGCTTGAATTCAATCTTTTCGAGGTATCCCACTGCCCCCTCCGAGTATGCTACAAACTCCCACATGGTGTCAAGCTCTGCACAGGAGTTACCTTGGAGAGCCTGTTGTCCCGGGAGCCTGACCCGTGAGTCCTAGGGGTCCCTGCTGCTTCCATGTGGACATCAAGTCAAGGGGCCTCTTTCCCAGGCTGCCCGAAGCCCCAGCTGCCCAGGCACACTCTGCTGCAGCTTTTCCTCAGGACGTTGTCTCCCCAGTGGCTCTGCGGTGACCTCTCTGGGGACCTAGGATCCTCATTTTTTAGTGTGGAAGTAATCCTTTCTTCACATCCAGCTAAGACATTCTATCAAAGCGTGAGAATCTGCTTCCTTTTCATTTCTCTTAAAAAAATCATATACATTCTAGGCTGGGCGCGGTGGCTCATGCCTGTAATCCCAGCACTTTGGGAGGCTAAGGCAGGCAGATCACGAGGTCAGGAGATCGAGACCATGCTGGCCAACATGGTGAAACTCCGTGTCTACTAAAATACAAAAAATTAGCCAGGTGTGGTGGTGCATGCCTGTAGTCCCAGCTACTTGGGAGACTGAGGCAAGGGAATCGCTTGAACCCTGGAGGCAGAGGTTGCAGTGAGCCGAGACCACACCACTGCACTCCAGTCTGGCGACAGAGTGAGACTCCATCTCAAAAAAAGTCATATACATTCTATTAACCGTGTTGGTCCTGAAAATCTCAAAACCAGAGTGAACTGCAGTGGGTTTTGCTTTCTACCCTGCCACATCTCTCCTCGCAGTGTGTGAGCAATTGGGTTGGCCAAAGGGAGAAATATGGGGAAAACAAACTTTCACGATACTGCACTGGCCACACGGCACCTGCCGTAACGAAGGGGTTCGGTAAGTGTTTGGCCCTTTTCCTGGAAATGATACCATAATCACCAGGATATACTGATCCAGCCTGAATCACTGGCAGCCTTTACGTGGGCAGAAGTGAAATGAGCAAAACATTATGGTGAAGCAATAGGACTGAACATTTCTGGGAGAAGCAGCTGAAAGAAGAATAACTTCTGGACGAAAGAGTGAACACCTGGGGAGTCACCCATTAAGCAGAACAGGAAGAGAGGCAGAATTACTGACAAAGAGCTAACAAAACATTTTTTCCAGAAATCTGGGGGAAGACAGCGAAGAGAACAATAGCTGAAGTCCACAGAATAGCCACTAATACAGCAAGAAGATACCTTAGAGCTCAACTACTCAACATCGCCTCCACCCCATTTTACAAATACTGAGGCTACAGCTGAAAGCACTTGCACAAAACCAATAACACATTAAGTTTAGCTGCAAGATTCTTAACTCCACCAATTAGCTTTTTACTATAATTACAATATGTTGTCTTTTTATGACTGAAAATAAAGAGGATTGAAGAAGTCAGTTGGACCAGGGTTCAGATTTTGACTCTCTCACTTACTTTGTAACCTAGAGTCTCTTATTTGGCTCTAGCCTCTACTTCTTCTATAACATAGGACTAAGAATTCTTGTGTAAGAGTCTGGGTTGTTGTGAAGATTAAATGAGGTACTGAAGGACCCAATACAGTGTCAGCACATTGTAGCTGCTTGTTTGAGTGGCGATAGTAATACTCTTTCCAGTTCTTCCAGTATGATTCATTTTGATAAACTAAAACTCTTCATGAGAAATATCCCATTTGCTTTTTTTTTTTAAAAAAAAAACACATATATCCAAGATTTTATTTAACTCATTAATTAATGAGGGAACCAATAGCATGTTAAAACCAATACAAAGGAAAATCTAGAGGACATGCAGGCAAGAAGGAATGCAAATAAATGCAAAACTGGCCACTTTCATGGCACCATAACCGGTTGCGTCTTCACCTGACATGTATCCATTCTCACAGTGTTATAAAGAAATACCTGAGACTGGGTAATTTTTAAGAAAAGAGGCTTAATTGACTCACAGTTCTGCATGGCTGGGGAAACCTCAGGAAACTTACAACCATGGCAGAAGGCACCTCTTCACAGGGTGACAGGAGAGCGAGAATGAGTGCAAGCAGGGAGAATTGCCAGACTCTTATAAAACCATCCGATCTCGTGAGACTCACCCACTACCACGACACAGCTTAGGGGAACCGCCCCCGTGATCCGATGACCTCCACCTGGTCCTGCCCTTGACAGGTGGGGGTAATGGGGATTACAATTCAAAGTGAGATTTGGGTGGGGACACAGAGCTAAACCATATCAAGATGCATCATTCATTATTTTCTTTTTTTGTTAACAGTTTTATTGAGAGATAATTCACATACCTGTTATAAATATATATGCAATAATTTACCTGTTGTAATTGTACAATTCATTGGTTTTTTTTTGTTTTATTGAGATGGAGTCTCGCTCTGTCGCCCAGGCTGGAGTGCAGTGGCATGATCTCGGTTCACTGCAACCTCTGCCTCCTGGGTTCAAGGGATTCTCCTGCCTCAGCCTCCTGAGTAGCTGGGATTACAGGCCAGTGCCACCACGCCTGGCTAATTTTTGTATTTTTAGTGGAGACGGAGTTTCACCATATTGGTCAGGCTGGTCTTAAACTCCTGACCTTGTGATCTGCCTGCCTTGGCCTCCCATGGTGCTGGGATTACAGGCGTGAGCCACCGCGCCTGGCCAATTCAATGGTTTTTAATGTATTTACACAGCAGTGCAAGCATCACCACAATCAATTTTGAATCTTTTCATGATGCCAAAAGAAAACTCTGTGCCTTTTAATCGTAACTCTTAACCTCCCACTTCTACCCCCACGCCCAGCCATAGTCAGCCCCTAGTCTATTTCCTGCTTCTACAGATTTTCTCTCATGGACATTACATATAAATGGAATCATACAATCTGTGGTCTTTTGTGGCTGGCTTCTTTCACTTGACATACTGTTTTCAAGGTTCGTTCTTGTTGGATCATGTATCAGTGCTTCATTTCTTTTTATATTTGAGGAATATTCCACTGTGTGGCTCATTTTAAAATACTGACTGTGCATTTAGTGTGCTTTCATGAGAAGCAAAATATGGAGACCTCTGAGATCTAATAGGTTAGAGCTTTCAGTTTCTCTCCAGGACAGCAGATTCCTGATACAAATATCAGTTTCTGCATCTAAGCCATGAGGTTCAGTACTTTTGTCTTCTGGCTCTTTGTTTGAAATTTATATTTGCTTTCATACAGCTTAGCACAACCTGGCTAAAAGTAAATCCCACTCAGGCCATTGGCCAGTTTTCCATGGTGGCAAGCACAGTGGACTCTTCTGGAACTGCATGTCTGGAAAAACAACATAAAACAAAGGAGTCTCTAGAGAACATCAGCCAAATATTATAATTTGATATGGTGACCTGAGGTCTGATCTGGGGGCATGTACTTAGAAATATCAAAAGAAAGTAGGCAGCTTCACCTCCTCTTACCCTCTCAGCTGTTCTCAGAAAGCTGTGGATGAGTTAAGTTTGCCTCCCCACCTTCCCGCTCACCCGTCGTCTGCCCTTTTACCTGCTAGCACTTGGTGTCCTTCAGGGCTGTTGCCACTCCTTCCAATGAGGGAACATCTGACCAAACTACTGAATTACTAAGAAATTGCTGATTCTGCAGGAACTTTATATTTCCAGAGAGGAGGCCAAGGAAAGGGCCATATGATTTGTAGACAGAATCTCTAATAGTGGGGGCTCCCTGAAGCCTTTTCCTTCAAACTACGTACATAATCTTCTTTTTCTTTTTTTTTCTGGAGACAGAGACTCACTGTATTGCCCAGCCCAGGCTGGAGTCCAGTGGCATGATTTCGGCTCACCACAACCGCTGCCTCCATGTTCAAGTGATTCTCCTGCCTCAGGCTCCTGAGTAGCTGGAATTACAGGCACCCACCATCACGCCCTGCTAATTTTTGTATTTTTAGTAGACATGGGGTTTTACCATGTTGGCCAGGCTGGTCTCGAACTCCAGACCTCAAGTGATCCACCCGCCTCAGCCTCCCAAAGTGCTGGGATTACAGGTGTGACCCACTGTGCCCAGCCCCAAGTGCATAATCTTAGTTCAGACACAACTGAGATCAGAATTCTGCTTGCTCCTTTTATTTAATTAATTAATTAATTTATTTATTTATTTGAGACAGAGTCTCGCTCTGTCGCCCAGGCTGGAGTGCAGTGGCGCGATCTCAGCTCATTGCAAGCTCTGCCTCCCAGGTTCACGCCATTCTCCTGCCTCAGCCTCCCGAGTAGCTGGGACCACATGTGCCCGCCACCACGCCCGGCTACTTTTTTGTATTTTTAGTAGAGACGGGGTTTCACCATGTTAGCCAGGATGGTCTCCATCTCCTGACCTCGTGATCCACCCGCCTTGGCCTCCCAAAGTGCTGGGATTACAGGCGTGAGCCACCATGCTCGGCCTGCTTGCTCCTTTTAATCCATCTACCCATCCACCCATCCATCCATCCATCCATCCATCCATCCATCCATCCATCCAATAAACATTTATTCAATACCAGTTTGGTCAGTGTTTAAGCCTAGCGCTAGGTAGAAGGGAGCAATTTGGGCTGAAAACTTTTTCACAAATTGTGTTAAAATTATGTATTTGCCTCTTGTGGTAGGGTTTGAACTTCCTCTTCCTTAAGGACAAGGACTATATTCATTCCTGTGAATATATAGATGATGATTACCTAATTATGCTTGATCATAGAGATACTTAAATAAATGACCGCATATATGTTCAGCAGTCAGCCTAGTGCTCATCTGTTGGTGGTGTGGATGAGGAACCAGGGATCTCTCCAAGTGGTAATAGTAGACTACGGAATCCAAGCTGACCACAGTCCGTTAGCACACTTTATTACACCTGCTGGAGCTAAATGAAAAGGAATACAGTTCAATGATGGCCCTTCACAATGACCATTGCTTGCTTTTGTCCTATGAAAGTCAACTTCTTCCCTCTGAAAGCTGCTTGATTCCTAAATTGACCCTGGAGAGGAAAGCAGTAGCTTTGGAAAAGTCACAGTGACACTTCCTAGTAATAGGATGCTTTGGAGAGCTAAGAATCAGTAGAGCAATGCAGGAGAAAGAGGTGACATGTTCCCCAAAAAGCAGTTTGAGGAAGTAATTATGTGCATCAAAGTTATAGAGAACTATCCATGCCATTTTAACATGGATCAACTTTATTGAGAAATAGTTTACATATGATAAAAAGAATCATTTTAAATGTACCTGGTGAGTTTCATGACATGTACTCACTCCTGTGAATAACTGCCGCCATGCCCAAAAAACTCGCTTGTGATTTTTTTGTAGGCAATTTCCTCTCACCTCCCACCCTACTAGCACTGATCTGTTCTCAGTCACTATCAGTGTTTTGTCCTTCCTAGAATTTCACATAAATTGACTCATAAAGCATGCCCTTTTTTGGGTCAGTTGCTTTAGCTCAGCATGTTTTTGAAATCGGCCCATGTTACTGTGTGTGTCAGTAGCATGTTCGTTTCTATTGCTGAACGGAATCTCATTTTATGAATGTTTCACTATTTGTGATACATCCTATTTGTGATCCACTCACTTGTTGGTGAACATTGGAATGTTCCCAGTTACCAGCTATAACAAATATGGCTTCTATAAGCATTGTGTACAGGTGTTTTTGTGGACATATGATTTTATTTCACTTGGGCAAAATACCTAGGAGTGGAATGGCTGGGTTGTGTGGTAGGTGTACATTAATAAGGAATTTCTAGTTTTCCAAAGTGGTTGTACCATTTTTTCTTTGTGCCTTTTTGAAAATGCTGTTCATATTATGAAGTCTTATAGGGCAATTAAAAATTTAGGGTAAATTGATTTTTTTTTTTCTCTCGAAGGGAAGACTCTGGGCTATTACCATAGACAGACTGGTAACAGGAAGCAGACGTGGCAAAGTTCACAGATCCTCCATATGCTGGACATGATGGTCTTTGCCAAACAGCTGAAAGTCTTGGCCGTGAAATGCTGCTTTTCATCACCGAGTAGACACTATGGAAAAGCAAGTGAGAAGCCAGAGCTCCAGAGACTTGGGTGCAAACATTACCATGGAAATAGCACAGAGACTTTGTGTGTTTATTTCGTTTCAAATTTGATGGAAATTTTTCTCATTCAAGAAAAATCCAACTGTCACTACCCTTGCTCATTATTGCAAATTGGCATAGGAGCCCCCTACACTTTTTATTGTTTTATCTCTAAGTGTCAGGTTAAGACCATGCTGCTTTCTGCCTTGCTACACTCCAGCCACTGTTTGTCCTGAGAAATTTCCATGGTCATGCTCTGTTAGTCCAAGGGGTGGTTTTTTACTCCATTTTATTTGGCCTAGCTCAGAGACAAGTGTTGTAACAAATACCTTGGGAGGCAGCTCACTGGTCACGTAGCTCTGATGTGGAGTCACCAGAGTTTCTATTGGCAGCCCTGGGTTTCACCTCTTTAAAACAAGTGGAGAGTACAGTCAGCTCATAAACCGACGTGGTTCTTCATAGCATTCTTCCTGAAGCACCCAACATCCAGCTTTCAAGGAGACAGTTCATTATCTCTTTCAAAGAATCTGTTTCACATAACAAAGACATTCTTAGCATTTGGTCTTAGCATTGGTCATCAGTAGAGAAGCTCAGGATCCCCAGCTCTAGAAGTTCTACTCAAAAGCAGAGGAAGGGCCTGGTGGCCTCTTCGGGTCTGTGGTCACGAGACAAAGCTGTAAAGGGTGAATACAAGTCACTTGGTTTGTCTAGGCTCTACCAGTTGTTTGCTGGGTGACAGCCCGTGGAGAATGGTTATAAACAGTTTGGATTTCCAAGTCAAATACGTGTTGATCAAATCCCAACTGGGCCGCTGCCTCAGTTCCTTCATCTCTAATGTAGGAGTAACAGCTTATTAATGAGGTGTGAGCATTAAAAGGGACAGTGCAGGTAAAGCATTTATTATACTGCCTAGAAAAAACAGCCCCTCACTCCTTGTTATATTTGTTTCAATTACTCTAAATATGACGTTGCTGAACTAGTGTTGAGCATTTCTAGAGCTAATGTACTATGCTTCAAAATTTAAATAATTTTTCATCCTTCAGTTCAAGGTTAGACCTCACAGTAGCAGTAGTAAGTTATAGTGGTCATAATAACTCTAAAATATTTTAATTAACAAAATCTACAAAATGTTTGTTGTACATTGCAGGATGTACAAGAGTTAAAGACAACTAAATATTCAACAAGAATCTGTTCCAGGTGGCGAGGTGTTAGAGACAGAATGTGGCTGACGGGGAACTTTTCCTTATGGTCAAGATTCAGGAAAAGCAGCAACAAATGTAATAGTGAAATAGCAAAAGAACGAACATAACCAATTCCATTTCTGTTTAAGAGGCTTTGAGCCATTTCTGTTTGTAGGCTAGGATGCTTTCAGAGCACTGGGGTAAAACACAAAAACAGCAACCATGTAGTTTTTGAAACTGACTGCGATGAAAGCATGTAAGCAACTGTGTCGTGTTGAAGACTTACAGGAAGAAGCAGGCTTGACTACTGTCACATGAGAGACCATGACTCAAAGACAAAGGCGCTTCATAAACCTCCCTCAAACCCTTGCTGGCAGCCAGATGCCTGTGGTTATTGGCTCCCTGCCTGTCCCCGTTACCTAAACACAGAAGACAAAAAAAAAAAAAAAAAAGGCTGCATTTGTCTCCTACGTGTAGAGATCCCATTCTACCTCACCTTAGAGTGAATTGTTTACAAAGCCATCTCCCAATAGACTGTTTCTTGAAAGTAAGTACGTACATCTCAATTGATGCTGATTCAATTAAATACATTTTTATTTTGGTTTCTAAGAACTTTCTGTATTATGCAAACACAAAGGGGTTATGCAAACACAATGAAAGGAAGATTTGAAATGACAAAGAATCAGAAAAAGCTTTTTGAAGGAGAACATTTCATAAAGTCATAGACAACTTAGACTAAAAGGGACTTGGATAATAACACTAATGTCCTAATTTTGCAGATGAGAGGACGGAACACACTGATAGCTAGGAGGGAGTGGGTCTGGATCTCAAACTTCCAAGTTTGGTTTCCTTTCCAAGTTAGAATCCTTTCAGGCAGAGATGTGGCAAGCAAATCCAAGGAGAGATGAAGGAGACAAAATGGCACAGATGTTTCAAAGCAAAGGGACTATCCAGGAAATGAAGATTACTTTAGTTACCAGGGAAGAAACGTGTATATGTCATGGGGGAAGGGAAGAGAAAATGCACGTATGTGGCACAGCCGTATGTGGCACAGCCCTATGTGGTGCGGTCAAGTGAAGGAAGCTTTATGAAGAGGTTGGTGGGACCTTGAAGCAGGAAGGAAGGGGAGGAAGACGCAGGGTACAGAAGGATGAAAAACTCATGGTGGTCAAGAAACTTGTAAATGGTGGTAAATACTATAATGGGACACATAGATACGCACGTAAGAAAAGGGCCAGAACACACAAAGTCTCAAAAGGTTAAGCTGTGAAACTTAGAATTTTGAATAATAATAATGAGACATTCAAGATTCTTGAGCTTGATAGGATAAAAAAAAACAGTATAAATTGACAGTTATTGAATTTAAGATGACAAAAGTATTTTAAATTTCTATTTATTCCCCAAATACATCACTGTCATAAAGCTTTCTGATGATCTAAAGCTGGTTAAAAATAAAGACCTTGTACATGCACATTACTTTAGGACATGAAGCTAAGTGAATTATATTGATCAGAATCTGCTAAGAAAATTTTTTTCTTTAAATAGTCAAACTAATAAGAGATTTCACAGTAACCACATATTAATAGAACTGGAGGATTCTTTCTTTTGCTAAGCCTTGGGAAATGGTTTATAATCATTTGATAAGTTGATGAAGTATTAGCAAGCAAGATGGTAAAAGAAATAAAATATACAATCATTGTATAAAGTTACAGAAACACTTTATTTAAAAATGGAGTTGTAAATGCATAACAAAATAACATAAGTAATAAATGTAACAAAAATAAATAAGGAGGATAGTGTATTCATACAAAATAAAAATAATATAGTAAAAGGCCAAATGTTTATAATTGAACCAAACTGTGTAAACACTTAAACAAGAATGTAAGCAGAGTAGATTCTAGTATTTTCCTAAACTCCTTACCTTCTACTTCCATGTGGATATAATCAGTACCCAAATATTAAATAAAAGAGGGAGCAATGCTGATTATTTTGTCCAACTTTTTCTTCAAATGGATTGACCCTGTTTTAATGTTTCGTTTATTCCTTCAAAGCATTTGTATCTTTCCATTTATGTTCTTTAAAACCTTTTTTCAGTCTTCCTTTATTAGACAGAATGGGGAATTTAGCTTTACAAGGAGAATAGTTCATTTACCTTTTTTTTTAATTTAAAGAAAAATAGGAGATCCATTATAGTTTTGTTTTTACATCTCTATAAAGTTTTTTTTGCATCTCTATTAATTGATCCAACAATACAGGATTTAAAAAATCCTGTAAAGTCTTGAAGTGTATAGAGTTACTTTGTTTCTTAGAACAAATATAGCACAGGATTATTGTGGAAATATTAAAGACCATTTCATAAAAGTTGCAGTTTAACCTTTATAGACTGATGGGGTCAAGGGGGAAAATCCAGGTCTACTAATAATATTTAACTGAATTAAGATACACCCCAATTATAGTGTTCTGGAAACACAAAGGTAATTACTTTTCTTTTTAAAATTATCCAAATGTGAACTTACTGGAAAGAGAAAAAACAAGTTTAAAGAAGAAATTTTTCATAGCCTTCTTGTTTAGTAGCACAGGACAAAGGCCTTTGTCGTCGTCTTGCAGGGTCCTTATAAATGTGTAAGACAGACAGGATTTACTATTGAGTCCTACAGGGAAACACACAGAAGCAATTCATTGCTTGGGAGTGAAACTATCAACTAATCTTATGACTACTGGTTCTCCAAGTCCCCTAATGAAGAAAATTTTAACCTCATGATCATTTCAAGGGAATTTTTTTTTCAACTGTCACATATAAACTTGGTAACACAGGACCAATATACATGTTCTGAGTTTTAAAAATATACTCCACCTAAACTATCTGTCTAGTTTAATCTTTCTAGTTATCATTTAACCTAAAATGAGAGACCAAATCTTATTTCCATTAAAAAAAATGAAAAAAAGTGCCAAATTGATCTTTTTGAAAGTGGAGTAAAACACTGTGGGGTTAAAACAAATACAGTATTATCAATCTCCTATGTACAAAAAAGACGGTTAGTCCTTATTGATATATAGATATGTCCACCTACCACTCCCAGCAAATCTTAGTGCAAACATAATAGTTAATTTCCGTAAACCCCAAGACAATTTACGTATCAACAAAGTTATATAAATCACATCTATGTTGGAAAATTTTAGGACACAGAGTGACTGTTGTGAAAGGTCTGCTTTACTGTGGAGAGTACTTATGTCATTGTGTCCAATGGTAATGAGTACTAATATAAATCCTATTATTAAGAAGCAAATAGAATGGTTTAACAAATCTGTACAGATGAAGAAGTCCATTTCAGGGAGCAGCTTGGCACAGGAGACATAGGGGTTCAGAAATGTTGGCTATTTAGTTTGCTTGTAGGTCACAGCATGGCTTAAAAAAAAGAAAAAAGATCTATGAAGGGAAAGGGTGTAATCATTAAATTCAATTTGAAAATCATAAAACCACAAAAGGCGACACTGCCACAATCTGCTTTTTCCTATTTGTGCATCAAGTGGTTATCTAAATAGTTCGAAAGGATTGACATACTACATTATACGTCAAAAATAAATAAATAAAATTAAGAAGACACGGATTCCAAGATTGTAGCTGACCAAGCTGTCTTGTTTTGCGTACGTCAACACTATGCTGCTTCCAATATTCCTAGTCATTCCACAGGTAATGATTTTTCAACAATCAAGAGAAAGTCATTTATGTACTGTAACATCTTCCTCTTCCCCATCAGGGTTGACTCTATTGAAATGTATACTGAAATCAGCCTCAGATTCAGCATTCTCAAATTCAGCTGCGGCTGAAACAGCAGCAGGATGAAGAGCCCTAGCTTCTGGTTGGCCAAGTGTTGGTGTCTGACCCGGGCTGTGGTGGTTATTCACAGGGCTGGACTTCTGTTTCGGTGGAGATGGCAACATAGCACTGGGAAATCCCATGTTGTTCAGAGCCTCCAAAGTTCCATCAGGATCAATCATAGCATTGATTGCTAAAGGGCGGGAAAAGGAAATAATTCTAGATGCAGTTACATTCACATATAAACACTGTTCATGATTTGGATAATATTTAAACTATCAGTGCGTATGTGATCTTAAATGTGGCTAATCTTCCAATATTATATTTAAAACTCCATTCTTAGTTATTCTGTAGCTGTACTGTAAATTACCCAGCCCTGAATACTTTCTCTGGGTCCTTTGATGTGGCACTTACGGGCATTTCAGAGACTTATAAGTCTGGTATTTGAAGACGTGGAATTCAAGAAAAATCTTGTTGAAATTTGTCTTCATTATTGTGAGAGGATAGAGAAAATACTGAATATGATTTTTAATAAACATCTAAACCCTATTTATCACTCAGATAACTGAGGTATTAGCTGCTAAGTCAGGGTTCAGAGTAACCTCAAGGCTGGAGAGGCCAGAAGAACATCAGCATACTTTGAATGCTACCATAGAATACGGTCATTTAGCCTGGCCAGAGTGCTAGGGTATCAGCTGTATATACCACTGAGATACAGGGGTTCCCTCAGAGCCTACAGACTAATATCACAGGGCAGCTTGCAAAGCCAAACAGACTTGCTGCCTGTGTGGAAGGGGTCAGTTAAAGGTCAGCTTTCAGTCCAAAAGATCTTTGGGTTGACATGGAAAGTTCTCAGGCGGTGATTTTCAATTTGGCATTGGGCAGAGTAGGGAGTTGGGAGAAGGAAGTAACATAGATGTAAGAATCATGTAGAAGGGACTTTTAAAAGTATACCCCCAGTCTACCAGCTAACAAGCACTGTGTTAGCAAGCCACTTTTACTCATGGGTTATACCATAACCCTTAGGTGTGTTGGGGCTAAATAAAGATGAAAAATCATTTTGATAGGATCCACATAAGTACCTATGATTATTCGATAGATAAAGACTCAGTAGAATTAGCAGTTGACTATGGAACCTGCCTGTTGTACCACTGGGGACTTCTGGGTCAAGACATACATAGGCATTAATGCACACAGCCCAGCTCTGACAAGTTTAGAGGGCAGCCTCTTTCACTTTCTTCTCTCCTTTCTCTTCTGGTCTCTATGGCCAATATGTACTCATTTCTTGTCAACCAAACAACTATTATTTCTATTAGAATGTAAGTTTGTTTCAGGTTACACCACCAACATAATTTAAGAACTGTCAAATCACACAAATAATGCTAATTAACACAACTTTATTACATATTTTTCACATATTATTTATATGTAATACATAAAAAATTTCAATTAGTTTATGACATCTAGCCTATTGTCAAACCTATGAACTAAAATATGCCCAACATATATCTTTATTATATTTTAAATTTTTATACTGGGTTTAAAAAAATTCCTTTTTATGAATAATGTGAATGTTTGAACTCTGTATTTTATGTATGTCATTACATTTAATCAAATAACATCCTAACAATAAGAATATTTTAAGAAATACCACTCAGAAGGCACTTATTCTAAATTATTAGCTCTTTATACTTAATTCAGTAGTAAATTTACCTTGTAGCTGCTTTTCTACTCTTTTCAGTTCCTGTAAGATAGAAGAAATCTCCTGCAGGGAAAGCAATAACAAAAATTAGCCTACTTTTAGCTAAATGTTATCACTTTACAAGCAATGAATTTCACTCTCACTTTATTTGGAACACTTAATATTATCTACATGGTACTTACTACATTAATAGCAACATGATATGAAATAATTATGATATCTAGCAAACAAGATTCAAATTAAAATATTTAAACTAAAATGAAATAGAATAACTTTTTCAATGAGATGATTGTAGCAGATGAAAAGTTTAAAGTCATTTACTACTATTTAAGCAAAGACTTTTTTTTTTTTTTTGAGACCGAGTCTCACTCTGTTGCCCAGACTGGAGTGCAATGGTGCAATCTTGGCTCACTGTAACCTCCTCCTCCCAGGTTCAAGTAATTCTCTTGCCTCAGCCCCCAAAGGAGTTGGGATGATAGGCGCCCGCCACAATGCCTGGCTAATTTTTGTATTTTTAGTAAAGACAGAGTTTCGCCATATTGGCCAGGCTGGTCTTCAACTCCTGACCTCAAGTGATCCACCCTCCTTGGCCTCACAAAGTGCTGGGATTATAGGCGTGAGCCACAGTACCCGGCCGCAAAGATTTTTAAAATTCTTATTAATCAACCTTGCAATGACTATGTAAAAATGCCTTCAAATTATCTTTGTAAAAACATATAAACTGCAACCTCAATATTATAATTATATTCTGAGCAATGAAAATCTGTACAAATTCTTTTAAAAAGAAGATAAGCATTATATTAAGTAAACGGAAACGACTTATGTCAACTTAATATTTTCATGTTAGATTTGGTTCTCTTTAAAAATTTCATGTTTCTAATGTTTAATTATTACAAGAACAATCTACACTAGTAAGAAACACAAAAGGCTCCTCCTTCATACCCTCTGCAACTTTGAAACAATCAACATTTTAAACCTGTGAGTCAGTAGAAGAAATAAAATTTCCCAAAATTTTGCATTTATATCTTCTTTTGAAAAAGCAAATCAACGAACAGCTCAAAAATAAGGGTCTTTTCCTTAAAATAAAACCCTATTAAAATGTTTTAATCTTCAAGAAAAATTACTATACCATGCTCGAGGTTTTCACAATAGGGACTTCACTTTCGGCTCTTAATTTGCTTTCTATGTCATCCCAATTCCGATCTTTGTCTTTAAATAATATTCTATAAATCAAAAAACATAAGCATATAACTTTTTATATTTTAAAAACCTATTACTTTTTTGTTAATAATACCAAAGCAATGTATCTTTTCAAAGGTACACAAAGAAAAAAAACCAACCATTGCATAAACTGAGAATTAAAATACTAAGCCAACAGTACCAATTAATTCATGTGTATGAGCTCCAATTGAATGCTTATTAATACATGCATATATTCTTTACCGTTTATCTTATTCTTTATTGAAAACAAAATATAAAACAAATGTAAATGATGTTATGACCTCAAAACTTTAATATTTATAATTTACAATACAGTAATGCCCTCTTATCCACGGTTTCTCTTTCCATGGTTTTAGTTAGTGGCAGTCAAGCATGGTCCGAAACTATTACAGTATTTTGGGAGAGGGAGAGAGAGAGAGAGAGAGAGAAAAGACCACACTCACATAACTTTTTTTTACAGTAT
Source organism: Homo sapiens (assembly GCF_000001405.40). NCBI lineage: Eukaryota > Metazoa > Chordata > Mammalia > Primates > Hominidae > Homo > Homo sapiens. The sequence continues at coordinate 118,550,617 of NC_000004.12, read as the reverse complement.
ATTGTTACAAATGTTCTATTTTATTATTAGTTACTATTGTTAATCTCTTACTGTGCCTAATTTATAAATTAAACTTTATCATAGGCATGTATGTGTAGGAAAATACACAGTATATTAGGTTTTAGAACTATCTGTGGTGTCAGGCATCCAGTGGATATCTGGGAACAACATGTATCACCTGGGTATAAGGAGAAAAGACTGTGTAACTGTCACTTATAAAGAAAATGCAATTTTATTCAGACAGAATATATGCAGTATAGGAATAAGTGAGATGAAAATAGGTTGAATTAGGTATAAACAATTGTGTCTGTTAAGACCTCTTTATATAGGAATAAGCACCTTATCGATCAAGAAAAGTGTCTATATTATTTTAAAGACCAAAAATTGGGAGTACTTACTGTGCTTTTCTTTAACAATTGTTAATTCGTGTTAGTATACTTGCACATAATAACCTATTAGGAATTAGGATGCTATCCTTTTGATAAAAACAATTGCCAATAAAGATAATTATCCTATCATTACCCTAACATCAAATAACTTATAAAATAAAGGACCACAAAATTTTGACGTGTCTTTCAAATGTGGGACACTTTTCTAACACTTTAGAGTCTATCAGACATGATTCAGCAGTCTTAGAAAGATGTAAATACTAGCTACTTTTTTGGTTTCTTTTAAAATTTTTTCAGTAAGTCTGGAAATCTAGTTTAAACAACACTATATAACCTCATGTAAATGTATTACTACTGCAAGCTGATCAGCATTTAAGTAGTAAACTAAGTTAATATTTGTGCTGGTATTTCTTCAAAGATCAACATGCCAGACTTACCTTATTTAAAAACATGAAACTCATTAACATCACATCAAGTCTGGAACATTTGCTTAAGGTGGCAACGGGTCTAGAATCTGGTATAAGAATATTCTTATGGCCTACTTATTAAATTTTCTAAACTCAAAAAAATGAACACCCTTGCCAGCCATCTTTTCTAAATTATTATGTTCTTGTAAAAGAGTCCTTGCAGCATTAGGACTGATGGAAAATAAGGAAATAATGACTATTTCATGGACCAACTTAGAACTGTAATGGACTTATACAATAGAGAAAGACTCTGTTTAGCCACACAGTGCTAAAAATTCAGTGAATTTTTCCAGAGGATGGCTACTGAGTATAGTGTTTGTGGATCTAAAACTGTTAGACCATAGACATTTCACCTTTGGTGAAAATGGGTTTTTCACGGGTTGCCCCTGAAAAAAAAATGCCCCCCTGAAGAAATAAATGGTTTATTTTAAAATACAGTTTGTTGGCCAGGCACAATGGCTCATGCCTGTAATCCTAGCACTTTAGGAAGCCAAGGTGGGTGGATCACTTGATTCCAGGAGATCGAGACCAGCCTGGGCAACATGGCGAGACCTCGTCTCTATAAAAAATACAAAAAAATTAGCCAGGTGTGGTGCAGATGCCTGTAGTCCTAGCTACTAAGAAGGCTGAGGTGGGAGGATTGCTTGTGCCCAGGGAGATCGAGGCTGCACTGAGTGAGTGAGTTGTGAACATGCCACTGCACTCCAGCCCATCTCAAAAACAAAAAACAAAAAACAAAAAACAATTTGTAATATGTAATAGAACAGATCTAAGAAGTCAAACTTGTCATTTTGGCATTATGAAATAAACTTTACTGTAATATTTACTATAATATTTAATATTTAAATACTAGAGAATCAGAAAATCAGACCAAGAAATTAGTTTAGACCAGGCTATAATGATCAGAACTTGTTTTTGTTTGAAGGTCCTTATCAATTTTAAGCTGAAAAAATCATAGCTTTCAAAGTGATATTCAGATTATATTATAGATTCAAAATAAGCTAAACTTCAGCATGAAAATACATAAAATTCCAAAGCTTATTTCATTCAATAATTTAAGAATTAAGTTAAATACTTTTGATAAAGCCATTGGTTTTAGGGAAACAAACAGAAGTCTCAGGCTCCTATTCTACGAGCCATAACCAATTCCCTAGTACTAGCCCTTAAAACATGCGAACGCGGAGTTGCGAATTGAGAGTCTACCAATGCAAGGCCGTGCTACACAACCTAAGGGGGTCATTTTCACATGGAATGCAATGAGAATGCTGTACAACAGGAGTTCCTGTATAAATATTTAAAAATTGATTCCACAGACAGTGTTCATACAATGTAAATACGCATGCCTCTAGGATGAACCCCAGTAGACATTTGAGGTTATAACTCCTGACACAAAGCTTAAAGACCAGTTGATTCTCAAACTACCCTGGCACTTTCCATGCAGAAGGCCCAGGTCTCTACCCCTTAGGTTTGGTTATCACAACTCAGACCTACCTTTGAATAGTATCTTCTTCCCAAAGCCTTCCCTAAATCTCCTAGGTGAAAGTGATCCTTCCTTTGCCTTTATATCTCTAACTGAGCACTAATCTATTATACGCTATCTTGTATGATAGTTGATTGTATATGTGCTTCACCTTGCCAACTACACTGGAAACTCTTTAATAATAGAAATGGTTTTATCCTCATTACCTTCCATAAAGCCTGCCATAGTGCTTTATGCATAGTAAAACTCAACACTCGAACTGAAGGCAATTCAAATACATTAAACATTCTGTATTTATGTATAACTTTATTGAGGCATTTTTATGCATCCTTTTTTAAACTTTATAAATTCTGTCACTTTCTGAGACAATACAGTTTATCAATCCATCAGCAATGTCTTCTTTGTTCTCAATTTTAGTTCAATGTCAAAGCTACAAAAAATATTGTTCTTTGGGGGAGACTACAGAATGTAGGAAAGCTGCTCCGTGGTAAGGAAGAGAATGGTACACGGCAGGTAATCTGTGAACATCTGCTGAATAAATGAATGAGTGGTTAAGAATCCAGTTATCAGGGACGGACCTGTATTTCAGTAGGTAGGATGAAAAAACATTGTGTACTTGTTTACAGGTAAGGAGACTCCAGGGTTTTCCAGGTGCAAGCCACATGACCATACAAGACTGTCATGATGTTTTTACAGATAGCACTGGTGTATCAAGAGGACCCATATTGGATATATTAGCTTCCTATGGTTTTTAATGATAAAATCCAAACTCCTTAACAAATTCTGCCAAAACAGATTCATCCTCATCTCTCTAGTGTCATCTCTCACCATACTCTGGCCCTTTCACTTCACATAGCTTTTGAGTAACACCTCTCCTCATCATTCAGGACTTAAATTGCATGGCAATTTCTCTAAGAGCCCTTCTCTGAATTTCCCAAGTGCCCTTGCTATGGGCTTCCGTAGTAACCATCCTATATTTCCCTTAACACACTGAACTATAATTACCTGTTTACCTGCCTTCTACACTCAAATGTGAGGACATCAAAAACAGTGCTAGACAAATAACATACAGTCAAAAATCATTCAATGAATGAATGAGTCTGGAGACTTTATTCCCATATAAGATGATCTTAACCAATATTTATTTCATTTATTTATTTCTTTGGTTAATAATCCTTCCATAATGCCCCAGCTTTAGAAAATAATTTTAGTGGAACTAAAATAAAAATGATAACAATTATATATTACATTTAACTACAATGAATGCTTGAGCCAAATCATGATATTAATAAGCAGCTGTGTGATTGAGGCCTATAGATTTGTTTATTCATGTGTAAAAACTAGTAAGTTAAGCTTAAAATTTTTTTCCCTACAAATTTCAGTTAGGCTTTACCCCAGGGAATGGTGGACTTCATTTGTCTCTGGCCATAGGATATATTAGCAAATCATAGGTGAATGGGTTGCACGGTGAAGGGGATTCTCTTACTTGTGAAAGAAGTAAACCCAGGAATGATGGAGTCACTAGGGGAAAACATGTACTATATCTCACGTAAGACAATAATAGGGTGCTAATTACTTAATCACTGAGTGTGAGTAAAAGAAAAACAATGGACTCATTTATAAGCCCTATCAGGATTTATAAAATGTGGTATTTATAAACAGCATGCAACTAATTTAATTTCTCTAAAATCAATTATAAGCCTTAAAATTTTTTAGTTAATAAGGTTCCAATTTATACCTGAAATTAATATTGTTATTATACTTTTTATCTCATCAGTGTAACCAGTGATTTTAATAATAAGAAAAAGTTGATGCAGGTTATTGGGTTTCAAGTGGAAATAGAAAATGTGAGTAGTAAAATACAGGTAATATTCAAGTGAAATAATGAAATTAAGTCAAATCATGTGTAGATAGCAGAAATAGCTAACTTAATACAAGCTGATTGGTTTACATGATATAGAATGTAAATTTCATGAGAACAGGGGTCTTTGTTTTGTCAATGTCTAATTATAAAGTACCTAGAATGTACCTAATACTTATTTGTTAACAAGTAAATATTAAAATATTATTCTGTAGAAAATTAAGTCTATTTAAAATTCATAAGAATATATGGGAATTGATAAAGGTAAATTCTCTTTAAAAAACAATGGATAGGTACGTAATGGTAGTCATTAAAAACACCTTCAACATTATTTATATGTACAAGGTACTCTTTACGAAAAGCCAAACGTTTTAAACATTCTATTGCTGTTTTTTGAGATAGGGTCTTGCTCTGTCGCCCAGGCTGTGGTGCAGTGCCATGATCATGGCTCACTGTAACTCTGAACCCATGAGCTCCAGTGATCCTCCCATTTCAGCCTCTCAAATAGCTGGGACTATAGGCATGTGCCACCATGCCCAGCCAATTTTTTTTTTTTTTAATCTCGCTTTGTGGCTCAGGCTGGTCTTCAAGTCCTAGGCTCAAATGATCTGCCTGCCTTGGCCTCCCAAGGTGCTAGGATTACCAGGCATGAGCCACTGCACCCAGACTCAGCTATTTTTTCACTAAGGCAGCATGCCTCATATGCCAATCAAATATGGAGGGGTCTGTCAATACATTTCACTCATACTCTTTGGGGAAAGTAAAGATCTAATTAAGAGAAAAGATCAAGGTACAAAAGTAGATAAAATATGATCATGTTTGTATAAACCTTTGAGAAATGAACCCAGAGTGGGGAAACACACCCACTATTAGATATAATATATATTTTTCTGGAATATTTATATTTTTTAACCATGTTCATGTATTACTTTTGCTAAAAAGCTATACATTTTAAAATAAATAGAAAAATGGGACAAGACAGTGCAGAATACATTACTTTTAACATAAGGAATTTTATATTAATATTCTTTTAGGAGGCAATAAAGTGAAGAGAAAGTCTGGTACACCTTTAAGAAATTATTATTTATTTATTTATTTGAGACAGAGTCTCGCTCTGTTGCCCAGGCTGGAGTGCAGTGGTGCGATCTCGGCTCACTGGAAGCTCTGCCTCCCGGGTTCACACCATTCTCCTGCCTCAGCCTCCCGAGTAACTGGGACTACAGGCGCCCACCACCACGCCCGGCTAATTTTTTTGAATTTTAATAGAGACAGGGTTTCACCGTGTTAGCCAGGATGGTCTTGATCTCCTGACCTCATGATCTGCCCGCCTCGGCCTCCCAAAGTGCTGGGATTACAGGCGTGAGCCACCATGCCCGGCCACCTTTAAGAAATTTTTAAGATACAGGCTCAAGATAAAAAGAAAGCTCTTTCTGTTTCTTAACATGCCAAGTAAAATTTACCTATATAGGCCAACTTTCTACATTTCCTTCTGAATTTCTCAATTTTTCTAGAAGATGATGCAAACTTCGTTTACAGTAACTTAAAACAGATTGCTTTAAGTTAAATAGACTGTTTTTAAGAATACTTTAATTTTTAAATGGTGCTTTTGAAATTGTTTTTGAAAAAATTTAATGGCTTCTTGGTACTCATCAAATGCTGATAAAATATATTATTTCAATATATAAGCAATATAGAATTATATTTGTGTGGAATATTACAATTCACAAACCATGTTCAAATACTGTTTCATTACATTTTAAATTTTAATTATAGGAATCAGAAATAAGCAATAGCAGCATGGATTTCTGAAGTACTGTTGAATAAAATCTGTAAGTCTATTTATGTTTTGAATTAGTAATAAATTTAAAGTTACAAAGTAGTACTGGATAGATATTTACTTTGGGACAAATTTTTCCAAAGGTAAACATATTCATTCTGATGACACATTTTTAACCTTGAGAAAAAGCAAAAAGCAAAGTGAGGTGATATTAAAGTTAAAGCTATATGTACATGTACCTGATCTTTCCAGCTGTCTTATCTATAGATTGTCTTATCTTCTTAGAGAACTGAAAGACGGATGACAGCAGCAGATTATCTCCCATGACCTGAAACAGCCAAAGAAAAAAGTAGATATTAAAATATTACCCCTGTATTGTATAACTACTGAGATCACTAGTCACAAGTCACTATAGTTAGGGGCAGTTAGTATTTATGCTTATTTTAATTATAAACCAGTGAAGAATATAATTAATATGTAACTAAAGAGAAAGTGAAAGAAACACTATTAACAAAGGAGTTCTTATTATTAAATAACTTGTCAAAGTTTCCGTATTATTTTGGTCATATCAGTTTCCAAACACAATCCATTTTATCCTCAGTTTATCTTCAATTACTATTGTGATCCTGTCTCTCTTACTTCCAACTGAATTATAAAAGAGAAGATACAAATAACTTAGAGTACTAAATTTATTATTTATTCTTTCACCAAGTAATGTGAATACAGAAATCAAGAAGAGTACAATCCTTGTTCTCCAGCAAAGAGTTTAGTGGGAAACATACATTTTGAAAAATTTACGCAAAATAGTAAGTTTTTATACTGGGTGTTGGTATTACTCCAGTTGAGATGCATGGGCAAAACCAGGGGTCACCAATCTCTGTAAAGAGCCAGAGGGTGAAGGTTTTAGTCTTTGAGGGACATAGGGTCTAAGTAATGTGAATACAGAAATCAAGAAGAGTACAATCCTTGTTCTCCAGCAAAGAGTCTAGTGGGAAACATACATTTTGAAAAATTTACACAAAATAGTAAGTTTTTGTACTGAGTGTTGGTATTACCCCAGTTGAGATGCATGGGCAAAACCAGGGGTCACCAACCTCTGTAAAGAGCCAGAGGGTGAAGGTTTTAGTATTTGAGGGACATAGGGTCTCTGCCACAATTCCTCAACTCTGCCTTTGCAGAGTGAAAGCAGCCATAAATAATGAGCAAATTATGCATGTGGACATAGCCGTGTTGTAACAAAACTTTTACAAAACAAGTGACAGGTTGGATTTGGCCTATGGGCTGAAGTTTGCCAAGCCCTAGGCCAAATCATGAAAGGCAAAGCTAATGAAGCATGGTAGAAAAAGGACAAAACTTGAGTCTAGCCGTGGGTTTCAAAATGAACTCCTTATATTGTCAGTACTATATCCAGAGCCTGAAAGAAAACAGAAAATAAGGCCCTAGAAGGCAAAAAGGTTTAAAGACCACTGGGAGAGGTGACGGTAATATACAGGGAATACGATTACATATTTTATCATTAAGCCTAAGGCCTACAAAACAAGAGACGTTCATATAAATTTTGGGATTCAGTGCTGTAAGAATTCTAATGAGGCCGGGCGCAGTGGCTCACGCCTGTAATCCCAGCACTTTGGGAGGCTGGGGTGGGTGGATCACGAGGTCAGGAGATCGAGACCATCCTGGCCAACATGGTGAAACCCCATCTCTACTAAAAATACAAAAATTAGCGGGGTGTGCTGGTGTGTGCCTGTAGTCCCAGCTACTCGGGAGGCTAAGGCAGGGGAATTGCTTGAACCTGGGAGGCAGAGGTTGCAGTGGGCGGAGATAGCACCACTGCCCTCCAGCCTGGTGACAAAGCGAGACTCCCTCTCAAAAAAAAAAAAAAAAAAGAAAAAAGAATTCTAATGAAAGAGAGTTCATTGATGAGTGGCATAAATAAGGAAGTGATCATGGAAAAACATGAACTAACTTCAGAATGACAAGGATTTGAATTTAGTGGGTAACAAAAGTTTATTTAGGTTGTGAAAAATAACATTGTCAAGGAAAGGATAAATAAGCAAAATGGTTTTTGTGGGCCTTAAGAAAACAATCAAATAAGGATGGAAGACATATACAAATTAGGAAGGCATGAGAAAGGGCAGGAGAGTCTAAGGAAACATTGCAACACAGAATAGGATATTTCTCTTTTCTTTGCTCATGAAGTTTAGTTTGTTGTCACAAAGTATTAAATAAATTCCTGATCTCAACCTTGAGATAACTATCAATCTAGATGTTTCCATTCTCTTTAAAAACATACACTTCTTCCACATAGTTTTATTATGTTTGGAGAAATTTGTCTTCCTAGACATCGGGACAGAATGATTATGAGTAAGTTTAGAGAATAGGCTCTTTTCCTGATACCAAGAACAAATCAACTATTAGGCCAGGACAGATCAAGTATGCTGTAAAACGTTTTAGTATACTTCAGTTGTAACTTTCGGGCTAGTTGCATACTTTTCTACCAGGTAGATCTTTTTCTACTCAGTACCATGAGAAACATACATATTCTTACATAATAATCTCAAGATCTTATTCCTAAATCCAGGGATCCACAAATATTAATCTATGATCAATCTCTTCTGGTCAACTGTTTCTTTCTACATTATTCCTCTACCCAGCCCTTAAGCCTATACCACCTCTGTGTGTTGTTCATAAATCACCTCTTTCCACAGTAGTATTTGAAATAACCATTCTTTTATGAAGAAACTCCTTTATATCTTTGAGTTTTTTATTACTCTATTATTGTTCAATTTGGGAATATACCAGTTTATACATTCACTTTTCAGCTGATGTAAACAGTTTCCAAGTTTTTGATACTGTCAACAATGTTACTATAAATGTAACTTCTACTGTCAATGGGAAAGGGTTTTTCTTGTACATATACTAGCAAGAAAATTGCCAGATCATGTGATGTCTTTATTTTCAACTTTAGGAGATAGTGTCAAACTGTTTTCCAGAGCCGCAGCACCAACTTAACCTCCACCAACCACACATAAGAAAGCCTATGTATCTACCTTTCCTCCAATACTTAACATTTTAAGACTTTAACGTGTCAACAATTGAATGATTATAATCTCACCGTAGTCTTGACATGCATTTCTCTGAATGCTCGTTAAGTTAAACTTCTCTTTATGTTTTGTAGGCCTTAAGTATTTTCTTTTTCTTTTTTTTTTTTGGAGACAGAGTCTCACTCTGTCACCCAGGCTGGAGTGCAGTGGTGTGGGTTCAGCTCACTGCAACCTCTGCCTCCCGGGTTCACGTGATTCTCCTGCCTCAGCCTTCTGAGTAGCTGGGATTACAGGCACATGCCACCACGCCTGGCTAATTTTCTTATTTGTAGTAGAGACAGAGTTTCACCATGTTGGCCAGGCTGGTCTGAAACTCCTGACCTCAGGTGATCTGCCCGCCTCAGTATTTTCTCTTTGGTGAAATGTTGTTCATGTCTTTGCAGATTTTTCTATTGTGTTTTTTAATTGATTGGAGGGAGTTCTTTATATATACTGTATACTAATCCTTCATAGGCTGTATGTTTTGCAAAAGTTTGTAACTTGTATTTCTACCTTCTTTATTTTTTAATAAAGAAAAAGTCCTTAATTTTAATATACTCAAATGTCTCAATTTTCTAAGGCCAAAAGTTTGTGTTTAAGAAATCACTCCCTAGTACAATATTGAAAGATATTTGTCTGTATTTTTTAAGTAAAAGTTTTACAGTTTTTCATGCATTATTTAAGAACTAAATTCATTTAGAGAATGAATTTAAGAACTAAATTCATATTCATGAACTTAAATGAGAAAAAGCAATTACAATATTATTTTCACTAACCTCTAAGTGACATAATTATTTGTATATGATGTGATGTCATGGTGAAATTTCATTGCATTTATTAAGGAGAATCACTTTCTTCCCAGCCCTACTTACTGAATGGTTCCTCCTTTTCTCACTTACGGAACATGCTTCATGTTCTAAATTCATTTGGAGAATGAATTTAAGAACTAAATTCATATTCATGAACTTAAATGAGAAAAAACAATTACAGTATTATTTTCGCTAACCTCTAAGTGACATAATTATTTGTATATGATGTGATGTCATGGTGAAATTTCATTGCATTCATTAAGGAGAATCACTTTTTCCCCAGCCCTACTCACTGAACGGTTCCTCCTTTTCTTACGGAACATGCTGCTTCTGCCGCATGTTAAAATTTATAGTTTACTTACTTCATCCCTGCTCCAGGTTCTCCGCCTTGTAATTGTTAAGTGATCGGGAGGCTCTGCTGCTTGAGGTCTTGGATCACCAGATCGACCGTTGTTTCCTTCTGGTGTTTTGGAATGAACTAATGGAGGAATCTTTTGGAAGTTGAGGCTTTCATCAAAAACACGATCAACCAACTAATGGGACGAAAGCAAACCTTTATGAGAACACAGTAATTTGAAAAAGAAAAAGTACCAATATTGGCATTACAATTTTTATAATTAGACAGAAGTTATTCCATTCTCAAGTAGTAACAGAGGCATAACATCTTCAATAAACCAATTACTCTTTCTTTTTATAAGCACTTCAAATGTATTTCCTTTATAAAATCGAGATTCATCTACATAGGTTTTATTTCAAAATCCAAAATATATAACTATGTTAAATTCAATTCTTCCATGGATAAGATTTTCTCCAAATGGAAAACAGATGGTAAACAGAAAAAAAGCTGAGCCATGTAGATGGACAATGAGTTCATTTTACTCACATTGCCTTACCAGTGTAAAATAATGTTTCTTTTTCTTTTAGTTTCCTATCTTGTTTTTTCCTCCCCAAATCCAGGTGTCAAATTTCTTCACAAGATACATAAATGGCAAATTCCAATTAAGTTTACAAAAGGAAAATATTTTTTAATCCACAAAATAAATATTTTGATCTTAGTCAAATAAACTTTTAACAATGCTATAGAAGTTACACATTCTAATAGAAATGATATACTGCCATCTACAGTGCAAATCACAGACATACAATACTAAGTAACGGGTTTACTGAAGAGGGAATCAACCTAGTACAATATTCTGAAATAAAACAAAAAGAAAATGAAGTTTATTCAATGAAATGTTTAAGTAATTTTACTGGGTCTGAGTGAATGTATAACCATGTTAGGTAAAATTTAGTTAGAAAGCTGAGAAAATAATATCTTCATCATTTTAAATGTACTAGAAGAATTGTGTATGTCTTGCCACCAGGACGATCCTTAAGGTTTTCATCAATAAGGATGATTTCATTTACAGTTACATTTGATCAATGTGGTAACAAAACTCTACACAGATTGATGAAGTATCATTTATTAAGTTAAACAACACACTGAAGGAAAACAAACAAAAAAGTGACCATTAAAGAATCAGATTAAAGAATGTGACAGAAAGCAAATGAAGAAAATATTATTAGCACAGTTTACCACAATTAAATTTGTCAAAAAGGCTAGCCATTTTTGCCTACTATTTAGGATTATCTTGTAAAATTGAAGAAGCAGAATAATCAATACCAGGGGCTGGCAAACTTTTATTTATAAAGAGACAGATAATAAAACCTCAGGCTTTGCAGCCATACAATCTCTGTCTCAACTACTCAGTTCTGCCCCTGTAGCAAAGAAACAGCCATAGATGATAGTTAAACAAATAAGTGTGGCTGTGTTCTAATAAAACTTTATTTATGAATACCAAAATTTGAATTTCATGTAATTTTCATGTTGCGAATTAGTATTCTTTAGATGTTTTTTCCTGCCATTCAAAAATGTAAAAACCATTCCTAGTTCTTTGGTCTGTATTAAAACTGGCAGCAAGGCCAGTTTGCCAACCTCCAAACACAGAAGTTCATTCTTTTAAATGCCAATCCTTTGCTTATATTTCTGCCCCAAATCAAAGCAGCCAACATGGCCAAAGAGTACCATTAATTTTGTATTATATGTTAAAGGCGCTGTCTGGAGCAATGTTATGCAAATGGTGCTTCCTGGAGTTATACTGTAAGAGGCCCTGATATTGGATGGGTAATAGTCTATACATGGTAACTTGCATTCCAGACTTTATAAAAATGTTCTGAATATGTATTTGTATGTGTGTATATTACATATATATTTCAATTTTTCAAAATATCTTTATGTGTATGTGTTTGTATTTATCAACAGAATTATTAAAGCAGTGAAACTGTAGGATTTTTCTCTTTGTTATCAGAGTATCTTCTAGTTAACTAGCGATAAAAATACTTTTAATTGGAGCATTTTCATAGTCAAACTTTATAGAAACTTTATACCATCATTTATCAAATTTTGGGTTGCTTTTCAAAATACCATTTATATTCATGTTTCAAGTGAAGCTACGGACCAAGAATTAGCAGGCAAAATGCTGTTTCTAAAGAATTTTCCAGCTTCGTGTTAATAGTAGACCAAATGTTAGCCTTCACTAGTTTTGTTACAAAAACATAAACTGTTAAAGCAAAGTTGGAAAATGCAGAGCTTCATGCAAACAGGGAGGGTGGACATAACTAAAATAAACTAAGCAAAAAGCTAAAAGCAAAAGAAATAAAGAAAAGAAAGAACCTTATGCATTTCTCCATGAAGATCTCCTACCTCTTCTCTAGTGTCTATGGCAGAGCCAGGGGTGGTGGCAGCAGTGCTTACTGTGGTACTAGGGGCAGTGCCTGATGAAGTCACTGAATCTATCTCTCCTGCTACATCGTTGATCTCCCGAGCAATGAGAGCAAGATCTTGGCTGATCCTGGTAATAATTTTAGAAAAGAAGTTTAATCCCTTTTAAATAAACAGCTCTAGAAACAATCATTTATGAGATAATCAGTCATGTAAGTTGTATATCTAATTAAATATTTGTACCCCAAATTAACTATTAACTATTTTGATAATCAGTCTTAAACCTTAATTCCAAAATTAAGATTAATGAAACTAAACTCCAAATAACCTACAAGATATCACCTTGACAAATATACTTTAAATGCCCTTGAGTAGAGCTATGCCCTTAACACACACTGTGTTAATGACTAGCATTAATACATCACAGGGGTTCTTAAACTTGGGGAATAATGGATAGAATTCAAGGAGTTCATGAACTTAAATGAGAAAAAACAATTACAATGTATTCACTAACCTCTAAGTGACGCTTAGCATTTCTTTCAATTATAAATACAGGCACAAACCACAGTGGTATTAGCAATACTGGTGATTTTTGTCATCAACAGAGATCACATTACAGTTGCTACGGGTATATTTAAACATCATTTATGGTCATCACTGCTTCAAAACTACTGAAGTCATTAAACACACAATAATAACATTTTATTTAATGTTAATAAAGAACCATAAATTACTCTTACTTTCAAATATTTTGATAACTGAATTTCAATATAATTGGATTTCTTTGTAATTCTTTTGTTTACACCTGAGAAGGGCCCTACAAGCTTCACAAAATGGCCAAAGGGGTCTACAGTACCAAGAAATTAAGAACCCTGCACTCTTTCGTAGAGCACTTTACACTATGCACAGCACTTTCTAGTACATGTTATGTCACTTGAGGCCCACAAAGTTCTTTTGAGGTAGGATTTATCTGAGTTTATCACAATCTCAGAGAACCTGAATGGCTTGCTCATGATCACACCTTTAGATGTAGCTAAGGCAGGACTGGATCCAAGCTTTAGTACTCATTTCCATAAAGCCATTTGCATTTTTACCTACATGGACTGAAGAACTAAATAACTGTTACCTGTGATAATCAAAGGTGAAAATAGAGATTTTTCTTTTAGAGTTTTTTTTTTAAGAGGGAGAAACTTACAAAACCTACCACTGATATTCTTGTTTTTTGAGAAACATTTCATTTCAATAAGACATTAACGTTTTCCAAGCTGCATCCACTGCCCATAAACTCAATGTGGCTATTTCCACAGGGAAGGTTTTGGAATGACAGAATATTATTAAAAGTATATATGAAAGTTTCTGCAACTTCAAAATCCAAAGGAAATACAAAGTAACTTAAAAAGAAAAAAAAAAAAAGAGCCTAGGAGGTCTGGTTATATTGCCCAGGCTGGTCTCGAACTCCTGAGTTCAAGCAGTCCTCCGACCTCAGCCTCCCAAATAGCTAAGATTACAGACACATGCCTGGCTTAAAGTAACATTTTTTAACTTATGCAAAATGTGAGTTTGAAAGACTTTCAAGCACATTAGTAATTACATAAAAATTTAGATTTAAAAAGGGAACTAAGTTGAAGTTTATGGACCAACAGAACCAATTTATGGTCAATATATAAACTTTGTAAGAAACGTCAGTTAATTCCTCATTTATTTATCAACACAAAGAGGCAGGAAAAACACCAACAAATATTTACTGATTGCTTATGATGTGCCAGGCACTGGGCTAAGTCCTAAAGACTACAGCAATGAAGAAGCAGACAGGGTCCTTGTCCCCATGAAGCTTAGAATACACAGAAGGCACCATTATAATATGATGAGTACATTATAAAGCAGCTTCTTAGTCCTCAACTCATTTAATTCCCACAACCACTCTGTAAGAGAAGTATTAATCATCTTGTTCTACAGATGAGGAAAATGAGGCACAGGAGAAGACATGCGACCATTTTTTATTTATTTATTTATTTATTTATTTATTTATTTATTTATTTTTTATTGATCATTCTTGGGTGTTTCTCACAGAGGGGGATTTGGCAGGGTCATAGGACAATAGTGGAGGGAAGGTCAGCAGATAAACAAGTGAACAAAGGTCTCTGGTTTTCCTAGGCAGAGGACCCTGCGGCCTTCCGCAGTGTTTGTGTCCCTGGGTACTTGAGATTAGGGTGTGGTGACGACTCTTAACGAGCATGCTGCCTTCAAGCATCTGTTTAACAAAGCACATCTTGCACCGCCCTTAATCCATTTAACCCTGAGTGGACACAGCACATGTTTCAGAGAGCACAGGGTTGGGGGTAAGGTCACAGATCAACAGGATCCCAAGGCAGAAGAATTTTTCTTAGTACAGAACAAAATGAAAAGTCTCCCATGTCTACTTCTTTCTACACAGACACGGCAACCATCCGATTTCTCAATCTTTTCCCCACCTTTCCCCCCTTTCTATTCCACAAAGCCGCGATTGTCTTCCTGGCCCGTTCTCAATGAGCTGTTGGGCACACCTCCCAGACAGGGTGGTGGCCGGGCAGAGGGGCTCCTCACTTCCCAGTAGGGGCGGCCGGGCAGAGGCGCCCCTCACCTCCCGGACGGGGCGGCTGGCCAGGCGGGGGGCTGACCCCCCCACCTCCCTCCCGGACGGGGCGGCTGGACATGCGACCATTTTTTTGGCCAAGGTCACACATAGTTGTGCCATAACTAGATCTTTTCACTATGTCATGCTACATCTCACATGATTGCTCCATATATAATTTTTTAAAACATATTAACTGTTGATGTGATTCTTTTGAAAATGTGTTTAAAGTGTTCCCTTAGATAATATAGCAAATCCTTGCAATTCCCCAAAATAAATGAGCTAGAATAAGAAACAGAATAACCAAGCTTAATGAGATAAAATACAGATAAGCATCATTGTATCCAAAACTCTATTTTTCATTAAGGATTTTTTATGCAGACGATCTGTACAATGAAGTTTCTAATATTTCTGGAAAACAGTATAAATTAATTAGAAAAAACATGGACAACAGCAATCTCCACATGTGATATAGTAAAATATGTATTAAAATGAGCAATTCTTAACGTATATACAACATATATTGTTGATTTGAAAACCTAATAGATATTTTCACATTTAATTCCATTTTATTACAAAATATGGATAAGAAAATAGCGCTGAAGGAACAAAACAGAAGCTAAGGGTTCAGTTCTCTGACACTAGTCCTAGTCTTTATGTTTTCCCAAGTGTCAGAACCATTGACTCAATTTCAACAATTCTGTAGAAATAAGTATGCATTATTTAAGAAAAAACGGTGAGATAACATGAGAAATGTACTTTAAGTCATAAAGTTTATAATTTTCCTATGTAAATTATCTCAGTCATAACACTTTTTTTTCACTGAAGGGTTGTATACTGGAAAAAATAATTGTACATTTGGGTATATTGGAAGATTAAAGGATATATTAAAAATTAGAGTTCTAGTGATGTGTATACCCAATTAAATACACAATCTTTGCAAGATTATATATTATTACAACTATAGTAGAAACAAACTATCAGACTTCATTGATTTAAACTGCCAACAAAACATTGCTTTAAATGAGCTATTTAAAAATTTGCCTTATTATTATTTTTTGAGGTGGACTCTCACTCTGTTGCCAGGTTGGAGTGCAGTGGTGCAATCTCAGCTCACTGCAACCTCTGCCTCCTGGATTCAAGTGATTCTCCTGCCTCAGACTACCGAGTAGCCAGGATTACAGGCGTGCACCACCACGCCCGGCTAATTTTGGTATTTTTAGTAGCAATGAGGTTTCACCATGTTGGCCAGGATGGTCTCAATCTCTTGACCTTGTGATCCGCCCGCCTTGGTCTCCCAAAGAGCTGGGATTACAGGCGTGAGCCACTACGCCCAGCCAAAAATTTGCCCTATTTTTTAATAGCACAATTCATTTTCAAACGTTTTTACATGTAAAACTTTCCAGAGGATACACACATGAACCTCTGGAATTAAGTTTCCTTTGATATTACTGGAAAAAAGCAACGGTGGTGGGCTATTAATGAAGTATACTAGCTTTAGAATCCTAAAACCAAAGTTTATGACCGCAAGTCAAACATTTAACATTGGCTAAGAGATCATAACTGTAATGACTCAGCTTTCAAGAAATAATTTAGTGTAGTTTGTAAATGACCAGAAGTGTTAAAATGTAAAATGAGTTTAAGGAGAGACGTTTAAGGGTCATTCCAGAAAAGCTCATGGTTTCCACACTATCTAGAAGAGTTTAGTAAGCAAAAAAAGTTTTGTAAGAGGAAAGAGGGGATATCAAATGAAAGGTACTCAGGAAAACTGGAAAAAGAAAATATAAGGAAAAAAAGTCTAATGTCAATTATTCTAAGTGAAGTAATTCAGGAATGGAAAGTCAAACACCACACGTTCTCACTTGTAAGTGGGAGCTAAGCTGTGAGGATGCAAAGGTGTAAGAATGATATGAATTAGCTTTTAATCCTTGTATAAATTATGAACTCGTTTGGAACACAGGCTCTGTGTTTTAGGTTTATTTGCCTCCCCAATGGTGACAAATATGGTCAGCGATTCATAAAAAAGTATGATTTATAATAGGATGCACCAGGGAGACTTTTAATCTGAACAGAGGTCACGGTAATGAGATTCGGGAAGAAGAACGCAGAAGAGATTAGCGACCCCTCTCCTTCCCAATTCCTTCTAATGGTATAAAAGCCAGTCAGCCAAATAATGAAGAGCCACATTATTTTTAAAGAGTCAAGGATCTTGTATCAGGCCCCAAAATTGCAAAGGCAGGTATAAAGTAAAAATCCATAAGCATGTGGCTAAAAAATTTTTTTATTTCCATAGGTAAAAACAAATTTCGTTTAAGTATTTGGTTTAGCTTGTATTTGTCCTTCTAAGTGATTACTCACTCATGCTCTCCCCTGCACCTCAAATAGAACAAGTATAGTGGTTTAAGGTTTACAAGGCATGGGAAGAAAAAAAAAAAAACCCCAAGATATTAGCAAATTAACTTCACTTCATTTAAAATTCTCATTGCTTATACAATGTAGGAAAAAGTACACTTGTAAGAGACCCTATACTAGCACACAGAGGGAGTAAGAAGTCAAGTTAAAAAGTACACGAATGCAGGCACCAACTGGACTTATATAACAGGACATATAAGGTTTTTACTTTGTGCATGAGCAAAAAGTTCTGGATGTTCCCTAACCAGTAAAGACCAATTGTGAATCCCCCCTAACCAGTAAAGACCAATTGTGAATCCCCTATCTAGAGGCACTCCAGATGGAATGCTCAGTATCATTGGCTACGAAGCATGAATGCTTAGCAAGGTCAAATACATACTTGGAAATGCTATCTCCAAATAAAAGACAGTATTCTTATTACTACACTGCCTACAAATAAAAATACAGTATTTTTATTAGTATATAAAAAAGTACCCAGATGTGGCTTGAATGTGATAAGGCTATAATTTTAAAAAATGTACATGCCTTGTAAGTACTTGTAACTACATTTTCCCCTGAAGCCTTTTCCTGGTTTTGGCCCATTATTCAAGATTATTTTTCTCAGCTGTTAAAAGCAATGAACATAACCACATTTATGCTATTCTGCCACTTAACTAGATATCTTCTTTCTTTTTTATTAGACAGCACATAATTTTAATACAGCCTTTGGCTTGTTGTGAAGCCACATCTCTGTTCTTCTTGACATGCCTTTCATACAGATGTGTTACCACTGTAAACAGCTCAAGCAGATCTTAAGAAATTCACTTAAGGTTTCCTAGAAATGTGATTCACATGAGTTCTGTATCTTAAACCATGACTTTCAAAATGAGGTAAAATATTGTATAATGAAATCAACATATGCAGGTGTGAATATAAACAAGCAATACTGACTTCCATATATGGATCCTTGAAATGTTTCATTACTGGATGATTGTATCTTATACAGTGAATAATGCTATTATGATAAAACAGAAATACAATCTCTCACATCCTAATTTTTTTCCCAAAAAAAATAACTGTAGCTAGGTAAAAATGGGGCTAAGACAAGGAATTTCTACGTAAAAATTTTTAGAGTTTGACTTAAAAATTTTCAATTTGGAATCTTAAGCATTTAAACTATTCAGGGCCTACTGATAATGAGCTAGGTATCTTTTAAAAAACAAAAGAGGCTGGGCACAGTAGCTCACGCCTGTAATCTCAGCACTTTGGGAGGCTGAGGTAGGTGGATCACTTGAGGTCAGGAGTTCAAGAATAGTCTGGCCAACGTGGTGAAACCCTGTCTCTACTTTTACAAAAAATTAGCCAGGCATGGTGGCATGCGCCTGTAGTCCCAGCTACTCGGGAGGCTGAGGCAGGAGAATCCTTTGAACTTGGGAGGTGGAGGTTGCAGTGAGCCGAGATCATGCCACTATACTCCAGCCTGGGCAACAGAATGTGAGACTCTGTCTCAAAAAAAAAAAAAAAATCCAACAAAACAACAACAACAAAAAACAAAGGAGATATAGACAAATTTGGGAAGACTCCAGGCATCATTTATTCAACAAAGTTTATTTGGTATCAGTATCAGCTGGGCG
Organism: Homo sapiens; assembly: GCF_000001405.40. Taxonomy (NCBI): domain Eukaryota; kingdom Metazoa; phylum Chordata; class Mammalia; order Primates; family Hominidae; genus Homo; species Homo sapiens. The sequence goes on along the minus strand of NC_000004.12, from coordinate 118,531,354 downwards.
CGGTGGCTCATGCCTGTAATCCTAGCACTTTGGGAGGCCGAGGTGGGCGGATCACCCGAGCTCAGGAGTTTGAGACCAGCCTGGCCAACATGGTGAAACCCCATCTCTACTAAAAATACAAAAAAAATTAGCAAGGCGTGGTGGTGTACACCCATAATCCCAGCTACTCAGGACGCTGAGGCACAAGAATTGCTTGAACCTGGGAGGCAGAGGTTGCAGTGAGCTGAGATCGCACCACTACACTTCAGCCTGGGTGACAGAGTGAGACTCTGTCTCAAAATAAAATAACATAATTTAAAAAATTTATTTAGTATTTACAAAGCAATAGTTATGAATGATTCCATGATCTCACAGTACAATAAAGAATAAAAAGTCCAGGCAAGAGGCTTAAAGTTTAATTCATGTATTGATTGACTCATATATTTGACTTACATACCAACTATAAAGAAGGTTCACAAAAAAAAGTTTCCTAATGATAAGGAAAGATCTTTCTCTTCCATCAGTGGAAACTGTCAGTTAATTTGTTAGATGTTAGTGGCATTTTGATTCAATAATAGAAGACCTTAATGAAAAAAATTTGGCAAACCCCATTCTTTATGCAACAAAAGTATGGAGAACTGGGAAAGAGTTACACTGAGCCACAAAAGATTTAGGATGGGATAATAATGAGTTGAAATTGGAGGTTTCTTTTGGGCAGCAACAGCAATTTAATGAGTGGCCTGATTAGAAAAGCAGTTTGAATAAAGTACATGGAGTCTACTTCTAGCCATCAAAAGAGATCGAGATTTAATTTTTTTAAAGGCACCTCCCATTATTGGGAATGAAATGTTTATCGCTACAGATAAGTTACATTTGGTAAAATGTAGAAAGATTCTAGTCTCGAAACTAGACTTATGAATATGCTTCAAATAAGCAGAGGAAGTCACAAATAAAGATGTAATTAAGAGGATAACTTTAAAGGTTTTAGCAAGCCCATGCTATCTCCACCAGAGACAAAATCGGCAAGTTAAAAGATGGTCTGATGTCATCTGACAGCAAAGTATTTACTCAATAAACAAGACCTGAGATAGCCAGAGTATTTTTAGAGACTTAGGTACAGACTATGAGGAAGGAATAATGAAGTTCTAGGAAATGTGGAAAACTACAGAGAAACTGAAGAATCACTGTCATCTGAACCTGTGGGCAGGTGGTTTATTTCCCTACTCTTGCTGTTTGGATCTGACCTAGCCCAACAAAATAACAGGGCCTAGACTTGAGATATTATCAATCCACAAATGATGTCTTCAAACTGACTTGGCAGATATGCCTTATTCCTTGATTAGGGTAGTTTTTATATCCATAATATTTTCTCCAAAACAAAAAACATTTTGGTATTATCAAAGCTCACCTCCAATCACAACCCAAAATGTAGTATATCCTTCAATTATGTTGTAATTGAAGACTTGTTAGCTAAATTGCAATACACAGAAAAGCATTATATTACCTTACAGAAAATAAGAAAACCCACACCATTGAATTCTGACAACTAAATTAAATTGGTTCCTACCAACAAAACAATAAAAGCACAAAGCTTTTAATAATGTAGTAAAATTACAAGTAATTTGGTTTTTTACTGTTAAGATTATCACTCATTCATAACTTTAACTGTACATATTTTAGGCTTTGAAAAACATAAACCACAGTTCTATTTTAAAATGTTTTCAAATATATTTGATCAGTATTCTTTTTACTTGAATTTCACTAATAAAATTATGTGTAAAAGACTTAGTAATAATAAAAGCTTTTTGTCTTACAATGCCAAGTGAGTTTCATTTGGGGCCAACAAATCAGGGAATGGGACTGATAGGTGTTCCGTGATACATCTATTTTTTAGACAGAATCTCGCTCTGTCACCCTGGCTGGAGTGCAGTGGCGCGATCTCGGCTCACTGCAACCTCCGCTTCCCGAGTTTCAACGATTCTCCTGCCTCAGCCATCCGAGTAGCTGGGATTACAGGTGCCTGCCATCACACCCGGCTAATTTTTGTATTTTTAGTAGAGACGGGGTTTCACCATGTTGCCCAGGCTGGTCTCCAACTCCTGACCTCAGGTGATCCGCCTGCCTTGGCCTCCCAAGTGCTGGGATTACAGGCGTGAGCCACCCCGCCCAGCTGACACGGCTATTTAACGATCACTTTAATATTAAAAAAACAAACTACTTATATACCACTGTTTTTACTAGGAGGACAAAACATTTTTTAATAAATAAGTTTGGATGGAAATTTGAACAAAGCATTGGCTGGGATTCTTAAGCACAAATGAGGTAAGCCCAGAATTTTATAAACTGTAGAATGTAATGCTGATTCTGAAATTCCAATTATATCTGGATTCTCATAAATTTAAACGTGTGAGATCTACACAAAATTAAAAGCTCCAAATAAAGTTCTAACTATAATCATAAACCACTGTTTTCTCTGTATCCCTCTTAAATATAACATTTATTGACTACTGACTATATGTCAAGCACTAGGTTAAGTATGTGCATCAACTTGTCAACTCTCTCAGGTTGGCACCATTACGTCCATTTTACAGATGAGATCACTAGAACACATTTAATTAACTCATCCTAGGTCACACAGACCTTGTGGTCGAGTTGGGTTTGAATCTCAGACCAAGAATATGGTCTGAGTCCAGAGTCCATATTCTTCACCATTCAGCTACACCACATCCCTGTCACTGAGGTTATCTCAGAGTTCAGCCGCATTTGCAGCTCCCTCACCATTCCCTGGTGATACCATCTACTACAATAGCTCCAAGTATTTACTCTTTACGAATGACTCTACAACGATGAGTCTAGCCCTCACGGCTTACTGTTTCACAGCCGCAGTTCAACTGTCTGCTAGCTTTTTTCACAGGGCTATCCTTTAGGCATGTTGGTGTCATTATGACCAAAATACAACCTATCTTCTTTTCCCATGCCTTTTGTGTTCCCTACTCCCACCAATCTCCCATCTGATCAACCATGGAACCATTTTAAATTCTGTCTTACTATTCTGGCAATCATCAAAAGCTAGGCCTCTTGTGCCATACAGCCAAGTTGTGAATGCAAAGGAAAAGTTCTTGAAGTAAATTAAAAGTGCTACTCTAGTGAACACAGGAATGATAAGAAAGCAAAACAGCCTAATGCTGATATGGACAAGGTCTGAGTGGTCTGGATAGAAGATCAAACCAGCCACAACATTCCCTTAAGCCAAACTAATCCAGAGCAAAATCTGAACTCTCTTCAATTCTGTGAATGCTGACAGAGGTGAGGAAACTGCAGAAGAAAAGTTTGCAGAGGTTGGTCCATGAGACTTAAGGAACGAAACCATCCCCCTAACATGAAAGTGCACAGAGAAGCAGCAAGTGCTGATATAGAAGCTGTAGCAAGTTATCCAGAAGATCTAGCTAAGATAATTGATTAAGGTGGTTATAAGAACAACTGATTTTCAATGTTGATAAAACAGCCTTTTATTGGAAGAAGATGCCATCTAGGACTTTCACAGCCAGAGAGAAGGCAATGCCCAGCTTCAAAGCTTCAAAGGACAGGCTGACTCTCTTGTTAGGGGTTAATGTAGCTGGTGACTTTATGTTGGAAGCCAATGCTCATTTTCCATTCCAAAAGTCATAGGGCCCTTAAGAATTATGCTAAATCTACTCTGCTTGTGCTCTACAAATGGAACAATAAAGCCTGGATTATGGCATATTTACAGTGTGGTTTACTAAATATTTTAAGACCACTGTAGAGACGTACTGCTCAGAAAAACATGATTATTTGCAAAATATTACTGCTCATGGACAATGTACCTGGTTACCTAAGAGCTCTGATGGAGATGTACACGGTGATTAATGTTGCTTTCATACCTGCTAACATCCATTCTGCAGCCCATGGATCAAGGAGCCATTTTGACTTTTTTTTTTTTTGAGACGGAGTCTTGCTCTGTCGCCCAGGCTGGAGTGCAGTGACGCCATCTCGGGTCACTGCAAGCTCCGCCTCCTGGGTTCACGCCATTCTCTTGCCTCAGCCTCCAGAGCAGCTGAGACTACAGGCGCCCGCCACCACGCCCAGCTAATTTTTTGTATTTTTAGTAGAGATGGGGTTTCACCATGTTAGCCAAGATCGTCTCAATCTCCTGACCTCGTGATCCACCCGCCTCAACCTCCCAAAGTGCTGGGATTCCAGACGTGAGCCACTGCGCCCAGCCATTTTTTTTTTTTTTTTTTTTTTGAGATAGAGTCTTGCTCTGTCGCCCAGGCTGGAGTGCAGTGGCACAATCTCGGCTCACTGCAACCTCTGCCTCCCGGATTCAAACAATTCTCCTGCCTCAGCCTCCCGAGTAGCTGGGACTACAGGCACGTACCACCATGCCCAGCTAATTTTTTCTATTTCTAGTAGAGACGGGGTTTCACCGTGTTAGCCAGGATGGTCTCTATCTCCTGACCTCGTGATCTGCCTGCCTCGGCCTCCCAAAGTGCTGGGATTACAGGCGTGAGCCACCGTGCCTGGCCCATTTTGTCTTCTAAGCAGAAAATGTATTCCTTTATTTAAGAAATACATTTTGCAAGACATAGCTGTCATAGGTAATGATTCCTCTAATAGATCTGGACAAAGTAAACTGAAAATCTTTTGGAAAGGATTCACCATTCTACATGCCATTAAGGACATCTGTGATTCATGGAGGAGGTAAAAATATCAAGATTAACAGGAGTTTGGAAGAAACTGATTCCAACCCTCATGGATGACTTTGAGGGTTCAAGACTTCAGTGGAGGAAGTCACTGCAGATATGGTGGAAACAGAAACAGAACTAGAAAGACTAGAGTTAGAAGTGGAGCCTGAATATGGGACTGGATTGCTGCAATCTCGTGGTAAAACATTAACAGATGAGAAGTTGCTTCTTATGGATGGGAAAAGAAAGTGGTATCTTGCAATAGAATCTACTGGTGAAGCTGTTGTGAGCACTGTTGAGATGACAACAAAGGATTCAGAATATTACATAAACTCAGTCGATAAGCCAGCGGCAGGGTCTGGGAGGACTGACTGCAGTTTTGAAAGAAGTTCTACTCTGGGTAAAATGCTATCAAACAGCATCACATTGCTACAAGGAAATCTTCCATGAAAGGAAGAGTCAATCAACGTGGCAGACTTCACTGTTGTCTTCTTTTAATTAAGAAATCGCCACAGTCATCCCAGCCTTCAGCAACCACTGCCCTTGAATAAGTCCGCAGTCATCAGCAGGGATGTAAGACCCTATGCCAACAAAAAGCTGATGACTTACTGAAGGCTCAGATGATCACTACTGTTTTTTAGCAATAAAATGTTTACTTGTTTAGGTATATACTTTTTTTAAGAAGCAGTGTTACTGCATACAGTATAGTGTGAACATAATTTTTACATGCACTAGGAAAAAAAAATTGTGTGACTTGCTTTGAGATATTTGCCTTACTATAGCGGTCTGAAACCAAACCTGTACTATCTTAGAGGTGTTACTGTAGATAATCTTCCAGTATAATTTTTAGGTTGAATGTATTTCATTTGGTCATCTGTAAAGCTGGTATTGTAGCTCTGTTTACCCTAATATTCATAAAAACCTGCATCATGTCTTACATTCCTACTCGATGGAAGTCAATATCTGTTTTCATAACAGAGAAACTGAGGCAGGAGCTACGAAAGCATATGCATCAGGGATACCTGAAAGAAACCTTCCCTCATCAAACTGAAGGCCAAATATGCCATATCTCGCTTATACACTTCATATTCTAAATGGAGCTTGCTTTTGTGCTTTAAATTTAAATGCAGGTAAACAGTTACTATGTACAGATTAACAAAGTGCTGATCAAGTGAAATAGTCCTAAATTCTAAACAGAAAGAGTATGCTAAAGCATAAAACATTTTTGTAATAAATTAAAAATCACTATTATATTTTTCAAATAAAAGTGTCTTTACTCTTCAAATATTGCTCTCAGCACAGGAGTCTTTTAGGTGACAGTAGTTCATTTAAATAAATAAAATTATTTCTCATATTCTACTTAGTTTGTGATTCATAGCCATTTGAAAATACATTTTCTCACCCTAAGCAAACTTATCACTGCTCTATAGAAACATTAAATATCCACATTTCCTTCCATATTTTGTGTCTTTCCTTCCTTCCACCACCCTCCTTTTTTCTCCACATAAAACAAACAAAAAAAACACTTCTCTGGCTTTGAGATATATAGCTGGAAAGTATAACTTGAAAAATTAAAATCCCAAAGGCAAGTTTTATTAGCATAGTGCTACTGACAAACTGGAGGGATAAGGCATGAACATCACTGTAGGTTAAATAGCCTGTTCTTAAAGTCCTGCCATAGATAATAAAACGTACACATTGATAATAGTAACACTATGCACATAGCAAAATGGAACCAAGTGAAAATACAGTGTATAGCCCTTATTCCCTCTTCTCTTTGTATTACAACTGTTTTTTTATTTGTGGGTAGGGAAGTGTATTTGGCTCAGAAGAAGGTTTTTAGTCTTTCTAGTTTGGGGTAGAGGGAGCTTGAGAGAGGAGGCCTCCTGCCAGGAGGCATCTAGACATACAGGCACCACTGGATCTTGTGTAGCTGGACACCTTTTTCAAGGGAAGGGGAAAAATGATGAGACAAGAGTAAGACCTGTTGTTGCTAGCAGCGCCTGGAAGTACAAAAAATGTGTCAAGATGCTCTCACTACAAGCATTTTGTTGGCCCATTATGATCCATGGATCCCAAAGCACATATATGCCTTTCCTCTAACTAGAACAACTGGCTTAAAATGCTTCAGTAATTACTCTCCTAAAAAGCTATTTGTATGATAAAGCAAAAATGTTTTAAGCAGCACAATGAGATTAGAAAGGCATGTTCTCTCCAAGAATAAAAGCAATGACAAGTGAATAATCTTTAAAAATAAAAAACTAAACATTACATCAAACCAATGAGCCAGAAAAAACACAATTCACAGAAGTCAATGAAATAAAGAACAAAAAAGGTGAACATTAACATAGAGTAAAAGTTTCTTGTTTTTTAAAAGCATCTATGAAATATTATGTATAAACTCTTTAATAATGTCCTCAAGTATACAACTTGAAGATTAAGGTCTTAAAGACAGAAGTAAGCTTAGTATGTATACAGTGAAAATGTTTAGGTAACATATGGTATACTGCAGTAAAATCTAACATCTCACAAACTTTAAACAAAAAATCCTTATATTTTAACTACTAAAATATCTGCTTGAGTATAATCTCTCTTCAAAGTTCAGCCATAGTAAGTTATTAATTTCCATAAGTTATTAATTAAAAATCATATCTGCAGCATAAATTTTTTTTGTACATAATCTAAAGGTTACTATAAACAGATTTAATCTTCAAAATAGTCATATTTTGTTTTACTTACTAAAGGGTTGAACTGCCCATACTTAATGAGTTCATAAAGTATGAGTGAAAATCTGCTTACCCTAATTCTCTCCAGAGAGCAGTAGCCACATCTCTAACAGGTATACTATTACATCTTTGGAAGTTTAAAGGGAAGTAATCCATAAATTGCCTGCAGTTCTTAATTATGTAGATCTGATACTGCCTACCTTTCAAAGTTACACTTACTTATCACCATCTTTAAAAGAAATTCTTAAAAAGGGAGGAGGGGGGAGAGAGAAAAGGTCAAAATAAATTAATTCTACAATATGTTAGTGGTACAGGCATAGAAAAAAAAGAAAAAAAGCTGAATAGAGAGTAATACTACTGACTAAACGGAGTTCACAGTTATCTGTGGATTTCAGTTCTTAGACTATTAGTAAAAATCAAGTACAAGCTAAACTTTGTTACCAAGTTGTAATGTTCATAGAAATTTTCAATTCTTAAAGATAAGTCCTGAAAACCAACCTGGCTATCTCTTCTCGATGAGCAGTCCAATCTCGGATGTAGTCTTCCTGCTCTTTAATCCGGTGTTTGAATGAAGAACTAGTAGGCATTGCTGATCCAGCGCTCTGCAAGCGAGTGGTTTTCAGGGCTGGAGAAGTACATAGACGGGTATGTTTAGGGGAATTATGGTCTGATCCAAATTCATCTTCTGAGGTGGAAGCATAACCAGTAGGAAAGCGCCTCCATCTTGAATTTACTAAATTAGTTTAATTATTAAAAAAAATTATTATGTTATCATTTAAAGGAGGTAAAATAAAAGTCATGACTTCAAAACACCATGAGAGCGCACACACAGCACAATTTTCAATAACTGACGTACACATACCTCACAAAAACCATAAGTCTACTACTCTTTAGAGATAGAAACATTACACTTCGGTGAATTAAAAACAATGAAGAATCAAAAACAATCGAAAGACCATGTTTTCCATAGTGTGGTGAGTAAACATTCAGATGAAAAATTTCACTAATCATAAACGACTAAGCAAGTTCTATCCATCGATGTTTAACTGGAGTACTTTTCAATTGCAAATATTTCTTATTTGAGTGAAAATATGAATTTTTCAAAAAAAAAGTAACAACATCAACGACAACAAAAATAAAAACAAGGGAAAAGATTTCCTCATGCCACATGGACTTTCAACATGGAGATGGTAAAAACTCTCTTTTCCCAACATACAGATGTGCATAATTCTGGCTGTGGAAATTACGCCTTTATGGCAGAAAAAAAAACATTACCTCTGTCATTCAACATCCTGTTACGCTATGGTTGGAAAAAATCTTTTTACGTGGTAAAAAAACACAACAAAGCATCTTCAGTACAACTCTCTGCTGCTTTGACACTGAAAGCATATGGTGAAAATAGACAATGGCATAAAATCTACAAAAAGCAAAACTGTACAAGCTTTTGTCACAACCATTGACATTGAAGGCACAGGAGATACTGTGAAGAGTCACATTAAAGAAAGTGGCAATCACTTTCTTATTTACAGTTAGTAAAGACATTAAAAAAATGGTATTGCTCACACATTTAAAAAATCAGAAGACAAGGCAGACACTTTACTACTGTTAATATGAGAATCAAACATGCAAATAATTTGTGAAGCATAAATAGAGGTAAAAAAGAAAGATAATGGCTAATTCCTGGTAAACTGAACAAGGGCAGGAACCATGTCTGTTTAATCCAATAATGTATACCTAGCACTTAGCTGAGTGTTGGCTAGCAAATGTTTAACAAATATTTTTGAAAAAAATGTAAGAATTCCCGGATGTAAACATTTACTTTTCCGAAACCTAGTGAAAAGCATTAAATGTTATTGGTGTTTAAAGTGATAAAACCTTAGCATCTTCTTCCTTTTTAATAGAAACTGACCCTAAGCTGCACAGAATCCAGAAATTCCTCCACTCTAATTTTATGCCTTTTATGTCTTTTCCTCCAAAAACTACATTTTCATCTGGGGATCTCTAAGGCTGAGGTTGCTCTCAGATAAAACTGGCATATATTGCCACCAGAACTGGCTTAAGAAACAGAGAACTCTACAATGAGGAATATGCCATAAATTAGAGCCTATCGATTCGTCCTTATTCACACCCCTATTTGCAGATCCTGATGTTTGGAACTAGATTCATTCATAGGTATGACAGAATGAACATATGCAGAAAGTTCATGGCTCTCTGTAAAAGTGTATGCAAATGCATATACTAGGTAATTAGTCATAGACCTTTTTTGAGGAGCTTAAATATAATTTCTGATTTTAACACTGTAAGATAATTTATTAACATAGATAATACTTTTACCATGGTGATAATGTACTCATTTCTAGATATAAAAACTTCCGTGAGTTGAAGTGATCCTGAGACTTGAAACCAATTTTGGGAAAAGTTTAGAACAAGAGTAAAGAGGTTTAGAAAAAACTTAAGAAATACAGCAGGCAAAATAAGAAATAGTGTAAACAAATTTGTACTTTTCAAAAAAACATTTCATTAAATGCTAAATGTGTGTTTATTGTGCTATCTTACAATAGTGTTCATAAATAAGAAAAAAATCATTTGTTATATCAAATGTCCTGATTTTTGATTAGGCAACTATGGTCACTATACATATGATTGGAAACTAGAGAGAAAAGAAAAGCAATTAACAAAGAGCTTTAATAACTGCAGAACATATGAAAATGTAAGTATGATAAAACTAAGACAGTTAATTTTGAGGTAACTTAGAAAGAATGGCATCGATGGCTGATATATTTCGTGGCAGACTACATGAAAGCAGAATGAGAAATTGAGTACCAAGTGCTATTAATATACGTTAAATGTCAGGTGATCACATGTAAGTAGAGCCATGCTAGAATCAACTTTTAATAGTCTGAGCTTAGGATCAAAATGCAATTACACTTTGAGGAAAAAAGTACGAGAAAAACTTCCTTTTCACAAACTTTCCATCTCTTTTCATAGGCTGGTCTACCTAGAAGTCAGTAAGCATAGTAAAGCTACTAATAATATATTTTAAAAGCAATCAGGGGCCAGGCGCAGTGGCTAACTAACGCCTGTAATCCCAGCACTTTGGGAGGCTGAGGTGGGCGGATCACAAGGTCAAGAGATCGGGACCCTCCTGGCCAACATGGTGAAACCCCACTCTACTAAAAATACAAAAATTAGCCAGGCGTGGTAGTGCGCGCCTGTAATCCCAGCTACTCGGGAGGCTAAGGCAGGAGAATCACGTGAACCCTGGAGTCGGAGGGTGCAGTGAGCTGAGATCGCACCACTGCACTGTGGCCTGGTGACAGAGCCAGACTCCGTCTCAAAAACAAAAATAAAACAAAAAGAAAAAAAATCAAACGAATACAGCATATTTTAAAAAGTAAAAGGTAACATCTTTAGGTACGCTCTTTAAAATTGAGGAGGAAACTGGATAATCAGCATACAGCAGAGAAATAAAAATGTGATTAAAAATCATTAAGTAATTAAGAGCTCCCTTTGCCAGTGGAAAACATATCACACATGGGATGCTATGAAGAAAAGCTCCAGTTAACTCTGGACACAGTCTGTGTAACGACAAAGAGCAGAGCTGAGACTGAGTGAAATGATGGCTACTGGTGGAGAAGGGACTGGGAAAGGGAGTTCAATGCTAGGCCCTCTAACCTGTTATTTCTCAAAGAATTTATTTCAAAACTTTTTGCTTTCTTAACATTTGCTTCCAAACTGTAGCAGCTACCTAACCTTTTTTTTCTAAAGAAAATTCCCTATCACCTGCTAATTAACACCAAATAAACTTCAAGTTAAAATATTTTAAATTTTCCCCCATCTACTTATTTCATAAAATTTTAGAAGAATGGCCTTTGACATGAGTCTAAATTCTTCCATTTAAAGAGAAGAAACAGGCCCAGAGAGGTCTTACCTTGCTAAAATCAAAGTATAAGCCAGGTCTATGGACTCCCAGAGTTCAAAACGAATTCTCTGATATTCCAAGTGTTGTATACATTCTACATTTTTGTTTCCAGTAAGGTTTTTTTTGTGTGTGTGTGTGTGTTTCTTTTTTGAGATGGAGTCTCCCTCTGTCACCCAGGCTGGAGGGCAATGGCGCCATCTTGGCTCACTGCAACCTCCACCTCCCAGGTTCAAGCAATTCTCCTGCCTCAGCCTCCAGAGTAGCTGGAATTACAGGCACCTGCCACCATGTCTGGCTAATTTTTGTATTTTTAGTAGAGATGGAGTTTCACCATGTTGGCCAGGCTGATCTCGAACTCCTGACCTCAGGTAAACCATCTGCCTCAGCCTCCCAAAGTCCTAGGATTATAGGCATGAGCTGCCGTGCCCGGCCAAGTTGTTTTAAAAAGACATCCTAAATTTCTCAAGTAATGATAGTTTTTCTGATTTCTACCTGTGTTGAAGAAAAATTTTATTTCTTTCTCTTGAATTTTATTCAGCTTAAGTAACAGTTTATAAAAATAAATTTGATTTTCTTAATATATTATTAGGCTCATTTGATGGGTTGATATTACTAAGGCATTTGAAGGTGTTTGAAATGCCTATCTCTAAGAGACTTATTCGTTAGTAAAGGCCTAGACAGCATATATATTAAAATGAAAGTTCCAAGATGGGCTTGATTAAGCTTGTAGCTAGAGCTACAGCATTCATTACAAAATTTATTTTTTAATTATAAAATAGGCAACATTCCCTCTTGTGTTGTAGTACTAAACTACTATATTCACTACAAAAATATACTATCATTTATGATGTCTAGAGACTTAAAAAGGAAAAAAAGAGTTGTTAGTATCATATTTCTGTGAATGTTCCAATTTCTTTGTTGGCATTAAAACATACAACTATAGATTTTGCAAACACGCTTCAGAAAACACACATTGCATCTTCATACAATATCAGAATATTTTAGTGGAAAATTACCACAAACATGTTTTGAATGTATATTTATGAGCATTCAGCAATAAGATCAGTTGGGGAGAAAAACTGCTGACAATGCTCTGTTTTGTCCTTTGACCTGGAGAAAGAGTTAATTCAAGCCATGCATGTCTAACATTTAATTTCTACTGCCTATAAATTTTGAAGATTAGAATTAAAAAGGGACTGCAAACAGTCCAAAAAAATTCTAAGGATATTAACATAATGTTTTTATTTTCTAAAACGTGCACTTAAAACATAATGAAAACCAAGTGCTTTATTTTGATAATTCAAGGTCTTTAAATTTAAATATATCTTGCCAAAATAAATCTGGATATTTCAGTTACAACTTGATATCAAGAATCACTGAAGGAGACTGGGCGCAGTGGCTCATGCCTGTAATGCCAGCACTCTGGGAGGCTGACACGGGAGGACAGACCAGCCTGCCCAATATGGTGAAGCCTCTCCTCTACTAAAAATACAAAAATTAGGCGGGCATGGTGGCACACACCTGTAATCCCAGCTACTTGGGAGGCTGAGGCAGGAGAATCACTTGAATCCAGGAGGCAGAGGTTGCAGTAAGCCGAGATTGTGCCATTACACTCCAGCCTGGGCAACAAGAGCAAGATTCCGACTCAAAAAAAAAAAAAAAAAAAAAGAAGCATTGAAAGAATGTTTTGGGGAAAAAAAACTAGTTAAACTCCTAGAAGCAAATTGCAAATTACATCAGAGAAACATACAGAACTCTTCTCTTCATATTGCTAAATCTGAGATTTCCAATCTTCTATTTTTATCACATACATTTCTTTAAAAAAAACTTTTTTTTAATGGAGACAGGGTCTCACTTGTCCGAGGCTAGAATGCAGTAGTGTGATCACAGCTCACTGCACCTTGAACTCCTGGGCTCAAGTAATCCTCCAACTTTGGCCTCCCCTAAAATACTGGGATTACAGGCATGAAACACTGTGCTGGCCTAAAAATATTTTAGAGACATCATCTAAAATATGGAATTGGAAACATTATGGAATTATTTTTACATATCCAATTGGGACAATATCACAAGTGCTAGGTTCAGATTATTTCCAAGGTCTTTAAAGTTTATACTGTGCACAGCAACACTGATCGGCATGATTTAACATTCTTTTAAATCATGTTTCAAAAGTTAAAATTTTTCTTTTCTTTTTCCATTCAAAATATTATAATTATCTTAAACAGAAATATTATAATATCAAAGGCACCTAAATTAGCAAAATCAAACAGGTAGGTTTGTTTGTTTGTTTGTTTGACCACCTTTTCCATACAGCTATTATAGTATGTTCTCACTGAAGGAAAGATCCTGGCCACTGTCCTAGAGAAGATCTAATACTATAAGTGGGTATCTTGAGAGAATCTGAATATACAATCCTAGATTACAATGTGGCTTTACACTCATAAGGTGGAATAGAGAATATAAACTGGGTAAAACATCAGAACTGCAAAGATTTTAGTAAACAATACCAAAACCTTTATATTGTATATTGACCTTGCATATACTCCTGATAATAATCCAGTAGATTCTAGCTGTCTTCTGGAAGCTTGCATACAAGTAAACACTGAAACTATTTCTTAGAGCTAGAATAGATACGGTAGAAAAACAACAGGCTGGGGATTAAAAGTCTTTGATTCTTATTCTGCCCCTGCCACTGCCATGTGCCCAGGGCAGGTTATTTCCTCTCTTGGCCTTGGTTCCCTTAAGGGAATAATCCTTCTAACTTTTAAATTCCATGATTCTAATTATTTAATATACTGCTAGTAAGTACGAAAAGACTAAAATCATATACATCAATGTGTCCTAGGGAATTTCATACACAATTCAAGGTTATTTTTGGACACAGAAAACTGAATATTTATCAAGTTCTGTATTCAAAGAAGCAGAAAATGAAATCTGTCTTTATATATAGCATCTTACAGTTGTTTCTTAGACTTGCTGAAGTAATCATATTTAGCTTGCATCTCAAGCCTTATCCTAAATATCGAGGAATAAAACCACATCATGTGTTAAGAGGTACTCCAAGCTACCTGGTAACATAGAAATTATGTTAAGACAGGAAAATACATACATATCTTAATGGAGATGAGGTGATAAAACAAGGAGTACAGCAGAAGAAATTTCATCAGGAAATGCAGCACAGATGAAATGTGAATTGAAGAAGTATAGCCATAACCAAAAACAGAATGAAAATAAACCAAAATGTAGTAGTTAGTTTTAAAATATTTGGCAATAAATTTGTGAACCACCAACCAAAGCTTCAAGTGTGGAAATGAGGACTGGGGTAATAAGGAAAATGTTGTCTATTTTTTTTTGGAATCATGATTATATGTTATCTGGCTTCACCCTACGTCCATTTCTACCATAGACAGTGACCATCATTACCAAACCCACTGACCAGCAAAGAGATACAGGTGAATGGAGTGGAGGAAAGCAGCAGTGAAAAGAGGAAGAAAAGTGAAAAAAGTATCATATGCAAAGTACTGTTCCTTTAGGGTCTTGTAGGATATGGTGTGGTAGATGTAAACCAATCAAAAATAAAAAGATGAAATTTCATATCAATTCCCCTCCACTCTTAACTCAAGACTTAGGGCTTACTTAGATGTCTGCCTACTGAAAATAATCACACATCTTCAAGTCTGTTGTAACAGCTGGCCTCCCACACTGGCCTTTGCAGCCACGCCCACATATGAGGCTCATTATGAAGTAATGAGAACATGCATATAGGACACAAAGAAATATCCACCTCATCACTCTTTGGTCACACATGTATCTCAATGGCTTCAGCTCTGAATACAAAGCACATAAGCAAACAAATATAACAGCATCAGTTAAATTCTGGTGGAAAGTAAGTAGTTTTTGTAGTTATTATATTCAATTACACCTAATTACTAGAGTTAAATGATATAACAGCACTTTGTGATATAATGCTCATAACCAGTTAAATTTCTACAGCCCAGTTTGGCCAATATATGCTGAGTGATTCCCCATGAATCCATCTTCTTCCACTGAAATAAATTAAGGTTAGTTTTCACCTGCTCCAACTATAAACAGATTTAACTTTAAAAAGTATAGGTAAAGTATGTGAGACATTTCAAAATGGGTAGGGGAAAAAAAGAACAAAACATTGATTATTTCATTTAACTCTGAAAGAGTAATAAAGCATACACTGCTTTTCTTCAAGTTCTTAAGGGCTTTGAATTATGTGAGGATATTTAAAGGTTAAACACATGCTTTTAGAAGCACAATGTTAATTCCTATACTTTAAACCAGATAATTCCAGATAATTTAATTTTGACACACACATCCAAATATATCACCAACTGGAAAATTAAAACTCCTAAATCAGCTCAATGAATTCCTAATTTTGAAATCACTATTTTGCGCCAGGACTCTAATTGGAAGTATATATAACTTCTGATTTTCCATTTACTATGCTAAATAAAACTGTTTTATAGACCTCCCCCCACCCCCGCCACTGCCCCATATATCATAACTTTTGTTTTGAATGAGTATCTTGGGAAGACAACTAGAACCTTACCTTTTTTTCAAAAAAAAAAAAGGAGCCCCCAAATATACAACATGCTAATGCTATTAGAAATCTGGATCCAATTTACCTGAAGCAGAGCCATGAGCTGAGGTCATACTTTTAACCTTGGAGTCTGAGAGTCGAGAGATACTGTTAGCTCTAATTCTAGGAGAAAATTTATCTGATGGTACTAGTCTGGCTCCACTTCTAATGATGGCTTCTGCGGTCCTCGAAGAGGCACTACTTCTAGAAATTGTTGCTTCAGAGTCACTACGAGCTGACAGTGAGCCAAGTCGTGTTCTACGAGGCTGAGCCAATAAATCAATCCGAGAGATGTTACGCCTTCCTGTGGGAGGTTTTGATGTAGAACTTGTTGTGGATACTTCAGAAGCAACAGATGCTTTGTCAGCATCGGCAAGTTCACTGTCTGAAGCTTCACCACGTCGTGCTCTGCGCAAGAGGGAAGTCCTGGTAGGTCGCGGCCTTGGAAGGGTGGTTGATTTACTAGATGAACCAGATACCACCGGAGAAGTCTTAGATTTCGTTACTTTACTTCCTTCCAGTTTGGAATGTACATGCTCATCAGCTGAGGTAAGTGGAGTCCGTCCATGAGGTTTACAAGAGTAAGTTTCTTGATCAGATGACATAATATCAGAGATGGCAGAATGAGGTACACTAGAGGTTTGGTCATCATCTGTTAAGTCTACTGAAGGCTGTCTTATTCTCCCACTGGACTGAACAAATTTATGACCATCTGCTCTTGAACCCACATCTGTGGAACGACTTTTTGTTTTCTTTTCCATTTTTTCCCTAGCACCTGAAGATGATGATTTTGTAACATCTTTGGAAGGAGAACCTGTGGAACACCTATCTTTATAGAGGCTAGTGAAACTCTTTCGCTTTTGGGTTGACTTTCTTTCAGTTTCTCCAGTAACCAGACTGATTGTACTAGCTGTATCTACATCAGATTCTGGTGAAATAGAATTGTCTCTCTTATAACTGGGAGTATCTGGTCCTTCATCAGTTTTATTATCTTCACGTAGTTTAGCTTCTAGAAAAGCCATTACTGCTTCTGTGTCTTTTAGAATAAGGGTTGTGTCCATACTAGAATCAGGATCCAAAGACTCACTTCTTTCTCGTATTCTACTTGCAGATGTTAATGCTAAAGAAGAAGGAGTAGAGGAAGTCTGTTTATTTATATGGGGAATAAGTTCTATGGGTATGTTTGGGCTGGGTTTTTCTATAGTGAAGCTCCCTTGTCGCACTAATGACTTGGAGGATTCCTTCTTGTCTCCTCCCTTTGGAGTCTGACTTTTCAGAATTTCCTCAGCTTTTCTTCTCTTGCTCTCACTTTGTGCCACTCTGTCTCCTTTGCTTGTAGAATGTCCTTAATTTTTTTCTGGAGGTTGTGATTCTTGTTTAAAAGTTTCCTCCCTACATTTATCTGTCTGACCTGAAACATTTTTGGAAGACAATTTAGTAGGTGTCCACTGAGCCTCCTCCCTTTGTTCTTGTTGAAGTTTTGCTAATGTTTGCTTTACCAAAGAAGTTTCCTTATCAGTTTCACTTTTCTCCTTTCCAGGAGCAGAGCTGCCTAAGTGAAGTAGGGTTTTATTATCTCCACCAGTTTTGAGAGTCTCTCCATTTACTGCCCTGTTCATTTTACTCAAGGGTCTGTCAGCATCTTGTTTATCTTTCTGGTATACCTGTTTAGGTGCTTCTTTCTCCTGAAGTTCTGTGTCTTGTTTTTCTCCTATCTCTGACCTCTGTGTTACAACCTTTGCTCTGTGGCTCTCAAGAGACTTTTCTTCATTTGGAAGCTGGGGAAGAGTTCGTCTCCTTCTCTCTCCCTGGCTAGCCAAGGAAGTTGCAGAGCCAGTACTTCTCACTGTCATGCCAGACTCACTGATCTCTGTCTCTATAAAATAAAAACCACAAAGAAGGAATTGATTAAGACAAAAAAAATAAAAATAAAAGGAGCATCATACAGTTGTCTGTCAGTATCCACGAAGACTGGTTCCAGGCCCCTTACTCCCCCAGGATACCAAATCCCAAGGATGCTTGAGTACCTTATATAAAGTGGTATAATATTTGTATATAACCTACTCACACCCTCCCATATACTTTAAATCATTTCTAGATTACTTATAATACCTAATACAATGTAAAAGCTATGTAAATAGTTGTTATACTGTATTGCTTAGTGAATAAGTACAAAAAAATAAAGACTATACACGTTCAGTGGGGACACAATCATTTCTTTTTCCCTCTCAAATATTTTCAATCCTCAGTCGAATTCACAGATGCAAAACCCACTAATACAAAACCTATGGATAGAGAGGGCCAGCTGTATTACATTACATTTTGAGATGTAAGTTAAAAATGACTTAAGTATACAAAACAAACGAGCCAGCATTGTGACTAAGTAGTTTAAGTACAATTTCAAGCTGCACAAATAAGCAATTCCTAGAGAAGTCAGGAAGGCCAATTGTATGAGATGAAAATTAGAGTCATCTGATCATTTTTCTCCTTTCATATATTTAATTTTCTATTTATGAATTGACAAAAATTATATATATTTGTGGTGTATAACATGATGTTTTGATATATGTATACCATTATGGAATGGCTAAGTCAAGCTAATTAATATATCCATTACCTCACGTACTTATCTTTTTTGTGGTGAGAACATTTAAGATCTACTTTCAGCTATTTCAAATACACAAGGCATTGTTATTAACTATAGTCATAATGGTATAAAAGGGTCATCTGATATTAAACCTAAATATATTGCTCTTCTTTCCTCTTAATGTGTTTTATAGAAGGGAAGTTCACTGTGTTCATTCTCACTTTTGTGACTTTCCATCCTTGAGGTTTGCTCAAAAAACCAGAATCTATTGTAGATTTATACAGAGAATGTCAAATAAACATTGTTTATTTTCTATATTTTCAACTACATAGTAGAGAAGAACAACATATCTAGTTTTTAAAAAGTATTATCTACTTGAAAGAATGATAATTTTGGATTTCCTAAGTAAAGTGAAAAATGCAGAACTTTTAACATTTTAAAAAAATCTATAGCTGATTAAAAGAATTTTAAAAATTGTAAGTATGTAACAGCAGACTTTTCATAGTTAGGGCATAGCAAAATTTTATAAATTGAGGAATTTTTAAATTATAGTCTTCTGGTTATTAATGCCACATGTGGACATACAAAATCCCTTTCTTTTTTTTCAAGTAGAAGCCAATGAGAAAATATATATTTTGATTTTTCCACATGAGAGAATTTGAGAATATTTAAGGATTTTCCTGACTATTAAAAATGGAATGTATTTCTGAGAAAAGGGAAACATCTTTTCAGGGAAATATAAATTAACATATAAAGCTTCCTAATCTTTTAGGGATAAATGGAGAAAAGATACTAGATATAGCTTCTGTGGGTCTTTTTTTTCTCTTTATAATCCTAAAAGTTTAGTATTTAAATATCATATCAATACAATGGATGTGATGGAGGAAAATCCATACTGAACTGATAGATTTAACTTTAATTTAGTCATTAATCATGTTATATCTTGTTTTGTTTCTTCTTTCATATATCTTATCTCCTTAGTGCTAACTGAAGCATCTAGAATGTAATGGCTACTTTACCCTTTTGTATTTTTCCAGTATTTCTCATACTGCCCCCTCCTCATATACATTCAATATGTTTAACAAAAACATTTTATTATTTAAGTGGATTTATCAGCTTATGTAAATAAGTTCATTTAAATATGATGACATAGAAATGAGATCATGAAAGCTAAGTGGTCTATTATTTTTTAAAAGAAGGATAGAACTTTGCTTTTCACAGATAATACTTAATAATTTTATAACAGATTCTTTGGTAAATTTATCTAGCCTTCTGTCTGGTTTCTTTGTTTCCTAAACACAGTTTATATGAACCAAATGACTCTGTTCCCTCAAAAGAATTTTTGGTAATACTATCAATAACTTCTAGATTCTAATATAAATAAATGATGTAGCTTTTCTAGTACACTGCTATGTAGCTTCCTCAAATACTTCTAATACTTACAAAATTCTTAAAACAGATTTTTGGGGTGCCACAAGCCTGAGACAAAACAAATTTCCATTTTCAACCAGAATGAAATTAAGAAAACAGATAAAAGCCACATACAAAATCTCATTGAGAGTCTTTTTGCTTTTTAACTATAAGTGAGTATTTATTTTTCAACTTGGATAAGTTTTTTAATTTTTTATTGTAAGTTGACAATTTATATTTGTATATGTTTATGGTGTATAAAATGTTGACCATAAATACAATGTGAAATAATTAAATCAAGCTACTTAGCATATTCATCACCTCAAAGAGTTAACACTTTTTGTGATGAGAACATCTAAAATGTACAATACTATATTATTAACTATATTCACCATGCTGTGCAGTAGACCTCAGGAAAAAAAAAAGCTTCTTCCACCTGTCTAACTGAGATTTTTGTACCTTTTGACCATCATCTCCTCATCCTCCTTTCAGGGTCTTATTGTTAATTAGAAAACTAATGAACAAAAAGTAATAATGAAATCCTTGAAGGTACACAACTTCATTTTGTTTAAAAAGCCTTTATATTTCTGTTCACAGAAATATAAAAGGTAATAAAAATCATACTACATAGATTTGTAAGATTATTAATTTCTTTTTCACTAAATGTACCACATGAAGTAGGCACTCAATAAATATCTGTTGTATTTATGAATGAAATCGTTTGGACCTGTCTTCAGCTTATTTTTAAATTTTAACTTATATATATAATATATATGTGCTTCATCTTTATATGTAATATATACACACACCTATATATGCTTCATCTAAAAATTATTTCCTTATCTTCAGTTAAGATTATACTTGAATAATAGCTGCATCATTAGTCAAAATCATATCTTAAGATATCAGCATATCAGAAAGAGTAGGAAGAATTTTCATTTAAAAGTAAAGACAAAATTTAAAAACCATTCTTATTTTCAACAGCAGAAATTTACAACTAAAATGAAAAGTGCCTCGGAATGAAATATTAAATCCAAGCTGGTGTCTGTCCACCTGTCCTTAGGAAGTCTCAACTTACGAAGTCCACTAAATTTCTCAAAAAAGAGTTTTATCACTTTGAATTTGTCCCCTGCTTAAAATCCCCCAAAATATACAATATCTAATAAAAATCAGCCTTTTACTTATAAAATAAATTCATTTATCAGCATGAGAATATGTGAATATGTTTATTTAGGTTTAACTTCTTACTATATAGATTTGGCTTGTTTTTTATAATAACAACTGATATATGATTCACAAAAAAGCAGAGAAGAGTAAGAGAAAGAGAGAGAAATGGAGAAAGAGAAGAAAAAAGGGATAAAGAATGAAAGAGAGAAAGAGAATACCATTCTCTAAAGGAAGAGGTGCAGAAAATTCCATTATCCTTTCTTCTTGATCATGCCTTGTATGATTGGCAGCCAAACTAGCCCACTGTGAAACCCAGCGTTTGCTTCCAGATGAAGATGTGCCTTCCTAAAGGAGAAAAATAAGAAAACAAAATCATGCAGCCTGGTCATATCTGAGTCTCATGAAAGACTATTTCATTTAGTCACATTAACTTGTCATACAAACCCATAATTAAACCTCACCTTGCTATATTATCATTGATTACATTTTCTCTTATATAAAATGAAAATTCTCTAGAAAATAAAGGTCTTCTCTGAAAAAAACTATGTTACTAAAAATGACACCTCTCAATGAAAATCCAAGACAAGCCAAGGCTTCATATGAAAACTGTAATGACAACTAGGGAGTGGAAAGCTACGACGGAAACTTTATTACCAACTAGTCACAACAAATATTTTATTAAGAGTGTCAGATTTGGGCCGGGTGTGATGGTTGATGCCTGTAATCCCAGTTCTTTGGGAGACCGAGGCAGGTGGATAACGAGGTCAGGAGATCGAGACCACCCTGGCCAACATGGTGAAACCCTGTCTCTACTAAAAATACAAAAATTAGCTGGGCATGGTGGCATATGACTGTAATCCCAGCTACTCGGGAGGCTGAGGCAGGAGAATTGCTCGAACCCAGGAGGTAGAGGTTGCAGTGAGCTGAGATCGTGCCACTGCACTCCAGTCTGGCAACAGAGCGAGACTTCGTCTCAAAAAGAAAAAAAAAAGTGCCAGATTTAATACATTAATAATGACAAGCTAAACACTGAAGAAGTGAAGACTTCAAATAGATAAATCACTATAAGATTTCAAGAATAGTAGGTAAGAATAGTAAGTATAGGCCAGGTGTGGTTGTTCACGCCTGTAATCCCAGCATTTTGGGAGACCAAGGCGGGTGGATCACCTGAGGTCAGGAGTTCGAGACCAGCCTGGCCAACATGGCGAAACCTCGTCTCTACTAAAAACACAAAAATTAGCCAGGCGTGGTGGCATGCACCTGTAGTCCCAGCTACTTGTGAGGCTGAGGCAGGGGAATCGTGTGAACCCGGGAGGCAGAGGTTGCAGTGAGCCGAGATGGCACCACTGCACTCCAGCCTGGGTGACAGAGGGAGACTCTGTCTCAAAAAAAAAAGAATAGCAAGTATAGAGAATGACACACATACAGTGAAGCCTCCTAAGGATACCAAAGCCTGCTGCATCCTTAATCCCATCCAAGGTTTTCTGTTACCTGCCCACATTTCTGAGTAGTGAAGGTGGTACCAGAGCCATGTGGACCATGCTAAGAATACCAACAGTATGAGTGTCACTGACACACGCGTATGTAAAACCATTCTGTGAAGAGTGTTCTAAATGTCCTGTTAGGTAATGTTAGGTAATTCCTACAAAGGAACCTACCAGGGCTATAGCTTTTGCTTGGCAGGGGTTGAAGGAATAGAGAAGAAAGAAGAGAGTCTGTTTAAATTCACATTTACCAAAATGAATTCCTGGGTTACTCAGAATGGCAACATATTGCCTCAAATAACTATCACCTGCTTTCAATAGGTAAATTAAGTATCTCATAAAACAGAAACCAGAATAAAAATTCTCCCAATCACAGGGAAATAATGAGCACTAAAATACAGTAATTGCTTTGACAGTTTTCAGGAAATAGGCCATATAAAGAAACAATTTTAACATTAATAAACAAACAAACATATAGGTCTATTTACCTGTATGTAAGAAACAAATCTTATTTATACTTCCTACAAATGTAACATTTTATTTATATTTTCTTTATTTATACCTTGATTTTCTTTTATATTTTGTTTTCTTCTTTTATTTTCTATTTTCTATTAATTTATATTTGTATATTACAAATTAACTCATTTCCTGAGAGACAATATAGCATGAGTCAGAGAACAAAAGCTTCCATTGAAGGTTAGCTCTTATTATCTGAATAAATAATAATTAATACTTATGCCTTAGATACTTTTTTACATTTCTTTTTGACACATCAATGTGGTATGAAATTCTAATATCATTTCTGATAAAGGTAAAAAACATTTGTTAAGTGCATAAATCTCAGGCAAGTACTATGCTGGATGCTTTATATACTTCGTTAAATTCTCTGTAAATAGATTTTATCAAAAATGCCATTTGTGTAGATGAGAAAACAGAAGATAAGGGAGAAGTGACTGATTCAAAAGCTTTGAGCTAAAAGTGGCAGCTCTGGGTCAGATCTTTCTAGCTCTACTATGCCTACTGACTCTGTAATTATCTTAACCAAGCAATCCTTAATTAATTTCATATTATTCTAATTATATCCTGGGCTGTACTGTATTTGCAGTTACTGAGTTATATAAACTGTATCTATCAGGCAGTGCCCTCGTACGTGTTTCCTGGTATGATATACAGGAAACATATACTTCTAAGAAAGTATAAGCAGGATATGTTTCTTGTTTTATCTCATAATGCCAATCAGAACCATGAGCATATAGCTCATTAACTGCTTACTGAAACCTAATATTTTCCTCATTGACAAATGAATATTTCTAAAACCTAATAAAAATTAAAGTTGAATTACTGCAAAATTGCTTTAGGCTTTCATTAGAAAATAAATTTATAAAAATTTAGTTTTTAGAAGCATTTTACAAGGAGATACATTAATTGCTTAAAATAATGTAATTTACAAATGATAAGAATTCAGGCCGAGTGTGGTGACTCACGCCTGTAATCCTCGCACCTTGGGAGGCTGAGGCGGGTGGATCACTTGAGGTCAGGAGTTCGAGACCAGCCTGACCAACATGGTGAAACCCTGTCTCTACTAAAAATATGAAATTAGCTGGGCATGGTGGTGCACGCCTGTAATCACAGCTACTTGGGACGCTGAAGCAGGAGAATCACTTGAACTCAGACGGCAGAGGCTGCAGTGAGCCGAGATCCTGCCATTGCACTCCAGCCTGGGCAACAGAGTGAAACTCTGTCTCACACAAGAAAAAAAAAAAAGAATTTATGCTTTATGCATTCAAGTAGGTACACAGAAGAGATGTATACCTCTGAGTGGTGAAATCCAGATGTAGTCAGTGGTTTTCTTTCTTCCATTACTGCTGCAGCAGAACTGAGAGCCCAATCTTTTATTAGATCTTTATGTTTTTTGTTGATAACAGGCCTATTATAATCCTGATTGTCATCTACTCCAAACACGTAGAGGGAAAAATTATTTTATAAATGAAAATGAAAAGTCTGAACACAAGATTAATACGTGAATAGTACAATTAACTTCAGAGGCAAATAAAAATATTCCAAATTAATTTTAATAGTTAATTTCAAAACTAAGGAAAACTTCTTGAATGACAGTAACAGCTAATTGTGATAGCTAGAAATGAAAGCAGGCAGTCACAGCTTATGTGAAAGTAATTATCCTTTTTTTTTTTTGAGACAGAGTTTCACTCTTGTTGCCCAGGCTGGAGTACAGTGGCGTGATCTCGGCTCACCGCAACCTCCGCCTCCCGGGTTCAAGCGATTTTCCTGCCTCAGCTTCCTGAGTGGCTGGGATTACAGGCATGCGCCACCATGCCCGGCTAATTTTGTATTTGTAGTAGAGACAGGGTTTTTCCATGTTGGTCAGGCTGGTCTCGAACTCCCGACCTCAGGTGATCCGCCCGCCTCGGCCTCCCAAACTGCTGGGATTACAGGCATGAGCCAACATGCCTAGCCGAAAGTAACTATCCTTTTTTTAACATTTAGCAAATGTCCTGTTCGATTTAAAAAAAAATATTCAAGACATATTTTATTTGTTAAAAGATTTAATAGGTCAGGCATGGTGGCACACACCTGTAATCCCAGCACTTTGGGAGGCCGAGGCGAGCAGATCACTTGAGGTCAGGAGTTCCGGACCAGCCTGGCCAACATGGTGAAACCCCGTTTCTACTAAAAATACAAAAATTAGCTGGGCGTGGTGCCACGCGCCTATAGTCCCAGCTACTTGGGAGGCTGAGGCAAGAAAATAGCTTGAACCCAGGAGGCGGAGGTTACAGTGAGCTGAGATCACGCCACTGCATTCCAGCCTGGGCAAAAAAGTGAGACCCTGTTTCAAAAAAAAAAAAAAAGATTTAATAACGTTGTTAAACACTACAACAATGCAAAGAGTTAGAAAAAAGTATCTCTTCAGTTTCTTTTCAGCTTCTTTGCTCTATTATTTTTGTGACACTTGTTGAAAAACCATAAACATGTGGCTGATTTTATCTGTTCCTTCCCTAGCAAATGTTTACCATTTACATATCTGAGTTACATTTACGCATAACATTTTCTAAGGTGCCATTTTATTGTATAATTGTATAGTAGATAGCATAATTCTCAAACTGTATTTGCCTAACAATCCCTTAAAGACCTTTGTTTGAAATGCAGATTCCAGGCCTATTTAAGATTAATTGTTTCAAAAAGCAAGTTGTCAATGTCCAGCACTTCTGAAAAGTTCTAAATACAAAGACAAACAATGGCGTGCTTTTCTTTTATGGGCAGGACCTGAGTCTTACTCATTTCCTGGCACATAATAGGCCCTGGATGTCACAGAATAGATTGGAAAAATTTTAGGCATATAAATATTAACATTCTATTCTGCTATTAAATCTCCACTGTGTTCCCAATTTTTATTCTTTATAGTTATTGTTTGTGGCTCTGATTATTACAATCTAGAAAAATATCATGCATTTGAATGAGCAATTTGCAGACAGGATCTTTAGGATATAACCAGAGAGCCTTCATTTTCTATAAGGAGAAGCTACCTCAGGCTAAACTATTTTCTAGACATAAAGTTTTAATGGTCTTATAGTACAGCTATCTGATAAGCTCTAAAGTTCATATTTAGTGAAACAGATATCAGACTTTCTCATTCACTAAAACTTGAAAATTTTACCACTAGATGGCCTTATTACTTAATATTTAATTCTAACATAACCATAATTGTCAAGAATTATGATTTAATATTCTCTTGAACTCCTCAATATTTAAATTATCTTTGCTTTAAGAGTAAATTATATATTGTTTATTTTAAATCAAATATGAATTTTAATACATGGAAGCACAATGTACAGAAGGGAAAAAACAAAAACTGCTTCGTTTTGCTTAATATTAGCGTTAAGTTTAACAGCAGTGAAAAAACCAGAGTATAACCTGTGTCCTCTACCTTTAACCCCCACTTGTAAAGAAAGCAAATTATAGCTATTCAAGTTATTTGTGTCCGTCTTTAAAAAAGTTAATCATTCCTAACTCAAGTCACTGAACTCCAATTTTACTGAAGTTTATTTACTTATTTTATAATTACTAACAAAAATCTAACTCAGGTTTGAAAGTTAAAATAACCACATGAGTACTTGCATTTTTGCATCTGTTTGACATGTAATTTAGAAATTACCTTGAGTGATTTTCTGATGAATATTTAATTCTAATCCACACTAAAAAGTTGATTTCCTCAAACATCTAAGCACCAGCAGTTTCAAATAAAATATCATGAACCTCTCTAAATCACTTCTGACACCACTTTGAAATGACAACAAAAAACACACGAACTAATCCTGTGAGGAAGGGGAGCTGAAGCAGGACAGAAAATACTGGGATGACTTTCGACAGATTCCTTTTAAAGCATTAGAGACAGCTATACATACATTATTAAGTAACAATTATCTCTTCTCCAAACAAGTGGTAGGGCCTGACCTACTACAGTGTGGGGAAAGAAGCCTTCAAATTTCACATCTGTTTTGATAGCGTTTTGAAAAATTAATGATAGCAATGACTACCAGCCCAGATTGAAATCCATATCTATGCGTTTCTGCCTCTAAGTAGAAACACATCCACCTGTGACAACTTTATGTGAAAACAAATATATAAAGTTTATACTGTCTATATACTTAAAGTTAGTGTACTTTTCACACTTATAAAAGGTACCTACAATCTGAAAAAAGAGCTGATAATTGTACAGAACTTGAGAGCTCCTCAAAACCAAGACCAAGTATGCTAGGTTCTCTCACCTTTCATTTTAGATTCTATTCCCAGGTGATTTCACCTAGGAACATGCGAGGCTTCACTTCAATTACCAACTATATAGACTGTTGCTTGCTGTCATCCCACCTGCTGGAAGGCTCAACGGTATTTCTTTTTTTTTTTTTTTTGAGACGGAGTCTCGCTCTGTCGCCCAGGCCGGAGTGCAGTGGCGCGATCTCGGCTCACTGTAAGCTCCGCCTCCCGGGTTCACGCCATTCTCCTGCTTCAGCCTCCCGAGTAGCTGGGACTACAGGCGCCCACCACCACGCCCGGCTACTTTTTTGTATTTTTAGTGAGACAGGATTTCACCGTGTTAGCCAGGATGGTCTTGATCTCCTGACCTCATGATCTGCCCGCCTCAGCCTCCCAAAGTGCTGGGATTACAGGCGTGAGCCACAACGCCCGGCCTCAAAGGTATTTCCAACATAGTATCTCAGCTCTAGGCTCATGATTCTCTTCTCTGGTCTGGTCTCAATCCAAATCCCAAACATGAGATAGTACAAAATCTAGGTCTTTCATTCAGCTAGGAACTTCTGTAGGCTAGAAGTCCACAGTGGGGAAGGAGATGAGACACCTAATTTTTATGCTTGCACCCCAAGTTTGCCAGTTTCTAATTCTTCCAGAGTAGGATCAAAGGAAGGCGGAATAGGACAGGAGTAGAAAACTTCTTTGTGAACTTGCACTTGCATGGAGAGCTGCCTGGGCCTGGCAGATGTTTAAAGACAACTCATTCGTATTGGGCGTAGGAAGTGGCTTTCACATATTCTCTCCTACAGTTCCCCCGATCCGAGTAGATACATCTCTATTTGTGGAGTAAGCCACAACCCCTCTGCCATGGCCTTTAGGTCTGGGATAAGAAGGCAGTACCTCCCTCCCTATCCCACTCCAACAATCATGAAACAATCTTTTCTTCTGAATACATTTGTATATTTGGCATTTCACTTTGGGATTTCAAATCCAAAGCTCAGTGGCTACTGTAAACAATTTTAACAACCTGTTACTGAGGAATGGCACTTACTCTCCACAGGCTACTTGGCTAGCCACTGCAGGGGATTACAAAATCTGTATGACAGTCTTTGCTTTTGAGGAGGTTACGTCTGATAAAGGAGCTTATAAAAAGAAGAGGCTGTCACCTGAAAGAACCATGCAGGAATATTCTGTAATTAAAACCAAATATCCATAAGAACCAAACTATATTTTTAGATTTTAGTTTTAAGTTTAAAGAGACTAGACATTCTCCAGATAACAAACTCGTACAATACAAACCAAACCTATGAAAAGTTTGACTGATTTTTTTCACTAGCATATTATGATCATAGTCATTATTATTTAAAAGCTCAGTCTGTGCAAAGATGCACAGTGTCCAATTCTGAAATCAGAATGGTGAGGATGGGGGATGCAGGGTCAACTTTCATGGGGATAAATATCCTACCTATTGAATATTTGCAGAGAGGTCAAAATTTACATTTAGTAACATCACATACGGGAAGCTTGCTGATTGTGACAGAAAATAGAGACCATTGTGAAAGAAGAGAAGCGCTGTGGGGTAAGATGTAGGCATAAAACTATAGTAATACAGTGTAGAGCAAAATGATAATTCAATAGCAATAGTGCTAATTTATTAGTTTAAAAAATATCCAAATCAGTAGGAATTCAGAATTCATATTCCCACAGAAATGAAAAATATAATGGCAGATTAAACATCTAACTTCTACAGTCTTATTTTAAAGTAACAAATGAAAAATAATATTGCATTAGTATATCAATCACGTCAAGGTGTCCAAGTAAAAATGTACTCAAGTTTCAACCTCAGATAACCAGAACATCTTTCTCCTCAATGAGCAAAGACTTCTTGGGTAAGGAGAGCAGGGTCTCTGTTGGATCAAATCAATAGTAGAGGTTCCCATGGCCCATGAAAGTAATTTGACACTTTAAGAATTATGCAGAATTCTAGCCACTAGTGTCAAGGAACTAAATCAGGATGATTTAAGAGGGGAATTTATTTTTGTAATTGTCTATGAAAATCTAATTTTACTTTTAAAAAGAAAAATCCCTTAAAATTCAATGGAATAAGTTATTCTGAATATTTAACACTGTGATTTTTATCACATATTTGTAATCAACTTTTAAATTTAAAATTCAGACAAAATTATTAGAAGAGCACAGAAAGGGAGTCAGGAGAGACATTTTATAATTTATCCTGGTACACAAATAAATATATGTACATGCACATTCACAGCAGTGTTACAACAGCCAAAGGAAGAAACAACACAATTATCCATCTGTGGATGAATGGATGAATAAAATATGGTTTATGCACGCAATAAGATATTTATTCAGCCATAAAAAGGAATGGGCAGGGAGTGGTGGCTCATACCTGTAATTCCAGCACTTTGGGAGGCCAAGGCGGGTGGATCACCTGAGGTCAGGAGTTTAAGACCAGCCTGGCCAACATGGCAAAACCCCGTCTCTACTAAAAATACAAAAATTAACTGGGCATGGTGGCAAGTGCTTGTAGTCCCAGCTACTAGCGAGGCTGAGACAGGAGAATCGCATAACGTGAGCCGAGATCACGCCACTGCACTCCAGCCTGGGCAACAGAGCGAGACTCTGCCTCAAAAAAAAAAAAAAAAAAAAAGAAAGGAATGAAGTACTGATACAGGTTACAACACATGTGAACCTTGAAAACATTATTCCAAGTGAAAGTAGCCGGTCACAAAAGACCACATATAGTATGATTCCATTTATACAAAATGTCTAGAATAAGCAAATCCATAGAGACAGAAAGTAGATTAGTGGCTGCCAGGAGGCTGGGAGAGGAAGGAATGGGAAATGACTGCTTAATGATTATGAGATTTTGTTTTGCAGTGATGAAAATGCCCTGAAATTAAGATAGTGCTGATGGTTGTACAACCTTGTGAATGTACTAAAAGCCACTGAATTGTATACTTTAAATGGCTAAAATAGTCAATTTTATATTATATGAATTTTACCTCATATTTTCTTTAAGTGGGACCCTATCTTCTTCTTCTTTTTTTTTTTTTTTTTTTTTGAGATGGGTCTTGCTCTGTCACCCAGGCTGGAGTGCAGTGGCACGATCTTGGCTCACTGCAACCTCCGCCTCCCGGGTTCAAGCGATTCTCCTGCCTCAGCCTCCCGAGTAGCTGGGATTGCAGGCTCATGCCCCATGCCCTGCTGTTTTTTTTGTATTTTTAGTAGAGAGGGGTTTTCACCGTGTTAGCCAGGATGGTGTCAGTCTCCTGACCTCGTGATCACCTGCCTTGGCCTCCCAAAGTGCTGGGATTACAGGCGTGAGCCACTGCGCTCAGCCTCTGTCTTCTTCCTTTGCTCCCCTGTCTGGGTGAAAACATGTTCTTAAATCTTTGTCTTCCCTCTTAACCTATCTTGTGTCCTTGATTCTCCCCATTACTTAGAAGTCTTACATCCATAATCTCTTCCCTCCCATCACTTCCTACATCTTTCTCGATTTGCTCTTTCTTTCATATCTTCAAATTATACTTAGATCTCATCTAATTCCTCTAAAATTTAAATGTCCAATTTCTCTCCTTTTTATGGTTCATTCCCTGGTCATGCATCCCCTCTTACAGTCCCTATAAGCTGGAAGTTCATCAATAATCATATTCCCCTTTCCTTGCCAAGCAGATTTTCCAGCTGGAAGCTGTCAGGTAGGTATCGCTAGGAACTCAAAGGTAAGTCTAGTCTATTTATCACAGCATCTCCCCGAAATTTATACATTTCTTCTTCTTCTGAGACTATCTATCTTTGCAGCTTTCATACTTAATATTACAAAGCTAAGTTTATAATATATACAAGGTTTTAAACTATATATTTTAACAAGTTATTTTGGAATCAAGATATAAACTAGTTTCAGCATATAAAAATGCAGAAAAATTTCTTTGTGGGGGCGTGGTTGGATTTAATTAATCTATAAATTCATTGAAATAAGTTAGCCAATATACAATGAATCATATACAAATGCTAACAAATGAAAAAGCAGGTCAAAAATTTTTCTTTCTCATTCATTCACATTCAAAAGATATTTATTGAGTGTCTTTATTACATGCCAGACACTGTTCTAGACACAAGGGATACGATGTGAACAAGACAAATAACATCATCTTAGAGTGGACAAACAGAAAATAAACCAGATGGAAGTGAGTTCTATAAAGAAAACACAACATGGCAATCTGATGGAGAGATATAAGAAGTGAATGATGCAGCTACTTTAAATAGAGTGGTGAGTAAAAGCCACTTCAAAGTGGATTATGAGATGGGTATAGAGTTTACATTTTTCAAGACAAAAAGTTACAGAGATGGATGGTGGTGATGGTTGTGCAACATTTTAAACGTATTTAATAACACTAAACTCTACACTTAAAAATTGCTAAGACGATAGATTTTCTTATATGTATTTTCCACAATAAAAAGATGGAAGGAATAAATAAAATGAATTATGAGAAGCTAGGCATGCCAAAAAGACAAGGAAGAGCTTATTAGATTGAGGGCACAATTTCCTCAAAGAGGAAAATAAATAGAATTTCATACAATAAGAGAGAAAGGAAAATGAGGACAAACCTATTATGTTAGGTGTCTGGCTGAATAAAAGGTGAGGGTTCCCTGGTGAAGCTTTGGAAATTAACATAGCAGGAGAGGGTTTCTTATACCCAGGAAGGAGGCAGCAGAGGTTAAGAAGGGTTGAGGAGAACTAATCAGAGAAACCAAAAGTAAGCTCTCCTGGTAGAAATTAAAAAGAAAAAATTCTCAATATAGAAAAAATTGCTCAGTCAAAAATAAAAATACTGACTCTGTTGTCAAAGTCTTCTCCTATTGTCCAAGGCTCTTACTTGATCTCCTACTCCTTGAGTTCCCATGCACATCTAATTTTCTATCTGAGTGGACTTTGGACATCCTGCCTTCCTCTGAGTTCTATGTAGCACTGTCTACATAGATTTTGATTCTGGTTTATCATCGTTCCCTGGCTCTTACTTGGATCTCATCTTAAATCTTGCTGTGACTTTCAGGGTTTGGAATATTTTTACAGGGTCCAGATCCTCAGCACTGACTTTCTTGAGCTGTTTGACTCGCTGCTGTAAATGTTCTTCCTCCCATGTTTCTAGTTTTGTTATAGGTCTCCTGGCTCTAGATTCTTCCCTACCAACTGTTGCTTATAGAACCAGCAGTGACCAGGCCCTATGAGGGAAGAAAAGACGCTAATAAGAGGCTTTGTAGGGGAGCTATATTGACACAATGAACAAGAATCAAAACTCAGGACAAGAAAAGTATCTGGCAGAGTTGGTCTAATGGTATGAAATTTATGAGGAGAAATATTTCTTTTAAGAGGATAGTTCCTCAAGCCCTCCACAATGATCATTTTTTCATGTTCCTTTAATGTTTAGCTTTCTGTTCTTACCACAAGTTTCTCCTATTTAGCTTAGGAGGTTAGGAAGTAACCCTGACAAGGTCTTCCTTTTGCCTCAGTGGTTATCTCTTTTGATGGAAGAGTGGAGAGAAGAAACTGGTACTGTAATGGGAAGGTAGTTATCGGAGAGGCCAAGGGAGAGAGGGTTGGGAGAGATAATTACTACTATGAGAGATAAATGCCTTTAATCTAGGCAGTCAACAGCACTTTCTTATAGTGTATTTCCATGTAAACTTAGATGTAAAACTTAAGAGGTCTTTATCAATATCAGGTATTTGTGTTAACATTTTAAAGGTGAATTTGAGGACATGCATAAAATAAGGTGATCTATTGAGAGAGACAGCCCCAAAATACAAACCCAAATGCTGTCATCTCATAACTTGGCGACAGAAAAAGAGGGTAGGTAGTTCACTATCTTTTAACTACTACCAGCACAGAAAAATAAGGATACAGCAGTTTAGCTTGGTCATCTCTTTAAAGAAATCCTATTTTAATGCTATGCAACTCTTCCCAAGGTAAGATGCAAAATACATAGTTTGCTCATCTTCTTTAGCCCAAGAATTACAATGTATTTTGGAGAAAAACTGAAAAGGCATTCTGTGCTCATCATAGTTAACATCAGTGTGTCATGTGATACTGTTGCTTACTGACTTCTCTTTGCTCTGCTTTTGATTCCAAGATGCTACATATTCCTTTGGTTTTCTCTTATTCCTGTTTCATATTTTTCAGTTTCCTTCGTTCGCCCTTCTCCTTTGTCCATCAATGTTGGTGTTGCTGAGATTTTCATACTTTATTTGCTCTCACCCTATACATTTTCTCTGATTAATCTCATCTCTTATTTTGTATTCAATTACTGCTATGGTTTGGATGTGGTTTGTCCCTGCCAAAACTCATATAGAAGTTTAATTGCCAGTGTGACAGTGTTGGGAGGTGAGGCCTAATGGGAGGTGTTTGGGTCAAAAAGACAGATCTCTCATGAATATATTAATGCTATCTTGTGAGTTCTTGTTCTTATGGGAATGGATTTGTTCCCTTCACAGTAGACTGTTATAAAGTGAGGCAGCCCCTCTTGTTTTGCCTTTTTGCATATGTCCACTTCCCCTCTGACTTTCTCTACCATGTTTTGACCCAGCATGTAGCCCTTAACATAAGCCAGCCATATGTGGAGCTATGCTCTAGAATTTCCCAGCCTGCAGAATTGTGAGCTAAATAAACCTCTTTTCTTGATAAGCTACCCAGTCTCAGATATAGCAACACAAAACGTACTAAGACAGCTGCCCTCTATTGTCTAATAATTCCCAGATCTGTATTTTTAGCCCAGGCCTCTTACCTAAGATCTAGTCATTAACTAATTGACTACTGGACATGACAGCAGCTTTTAGATTGCCTTCTGTGCTTCTGGCATTTCCAATGTTCAATCCATACTTCACACTTCTGACAGTGACTCGACCATGTCATTGCCCTACTTAAATGTTTTCAATGATTCCCCACTGCCTTCAGCATTAAAGTCCTCAGTATGATATATAATGAACTTCAATATCGAGTCCAATCTCATCTCTTCAAAAGTAACTGTGGTCCTCTGAACAAGTCATGTGTGCTCCTGTGCTTTCGAATAGGCTGTTCCATATTTCTGGAAAACTCTACCTAGCATGCCTGTTATGGGATTAATTATGTATGTTTCACGACTAGCTCAGCTGGCAATATTTATTGAGGACATTTTATATGCTGGCACTAGGTTCCTACAGTCATGGAGTTTACATTTGTTTGTGTCTCTTTCCAATGGGAGTGGGGAGGCAAATGAATAAACAGTGAACTGGTGAAGCAGTAATAAAGCTTATGATTAAAATGAAACAAGTTGATGACAGTGACTACTTTTTTTTTTTTTTAACTGAACGACTAAAGACTTCTCTGAGGAAGGAATGTCCTCTGAAGACCTGAGATCTCCTCTTGGAAGCTATTGGTAGCTTTCCTCCAACAGCTTTATTTTTAAAGTCTTGGTTTTCGTCTGTGTATATCTATTCCAGTACACAGCCATTTCTTGAGAGAAAGAGCTCAGTCTTTTCATTGTGAATCACCTTCTCGTAGACACAAAGCCTGGCACATAGTTAATGTTGAATTAAAGTTGCTAAATAAATGAATCAATGAAATAGAACACATCTCAAATGATGACATGAAAAGAAGAGTTAGACCACATGAACGTTTCCAGGACCAAAGAACATTTAAATTCAGACAAACAACAGCTGATGGCCCCAACTTCAATCCCACACACTCAAACCTCAAAATGGAGAAACTGGATGACAACACTCGTCCAGGCAACTTGATATGATGCCTGTATCTACTCCTATCCTCCCAAAGTGCTTTTTCTGCCTTCCTTCTGGCTGTTGTTGGTCTTTGTTTTCTTCATACCCACAGGTTACTTCATCTTACTCAGACATGATTCCTGCTTTTATGCTTTTGTTTTCCCAGAGCCTGACTTTAATTAGCCCAAATTTGGCTTTAAGCTTTATGTGGATTCAAACTAATGGAATCTTAGCTCTTTTTCTTTGGTAGTCACAAGATAATGTAGTGAGCTTTGTTCTTCCCAGCAATATGGTCTCAGCTTCATTTTCTGGTTTATACAAACTAAGAATGACTTTGAACTATGTACACAGTCACACACTACCATTACTCCTTTAAATGACTCCTGCTCTAAAGTCTTGGGTTTCTCTACCCACAGTGTGACCATATAATTTGCTGTCAAAATGGACTCTGAGAATAAAAAATGATGCTTATGATAATTGCAGGCAACAGGTGTAAAACAGGTTTTGTGGCCACCCTCTCTATCCAGCAGTTTCCTGAAGAGTTTCATCTGCTACAATGACTTCTTTCTTGGCTTTCTGCTGTCCTGGCCAAGCTAGCCCCTCACACTGTCACTTCCATTGTGGTTGTATATTTAACCCTTTCAGTGCTGAAAGAACATTCTGGGATTTGTCAGTACTTTATGTAGAGATTCAAATGTGGAAACTCCTAATAACAGTAATGATAAAGCAACACTTATAAAGCAATATAATAAGATAGGTATTGTGATAAGCCTTTTACATGTTTTATTGAATTCTTTTTATAATCTAGTGATATCGCCTCTGTTTCAGAGATAAAAGAAACTGAGGCTTAAAGAGGTAACTTTACCCAAGGGCACACACTAGCACATGCAAAGTTTATATTTAATCCCAGATCTGTCTGCTTACAAGTGTCCATGTTCTTAAATTGCACTCTCTCTCTCTCTCTCTGTATATATATACATATAAAATCCTTCACTGCAAAATAATCTTTTAATGGGAAAACATCAGCCATTATGATCAGTCATTAAGAAACATCAGATGTTTCTTAAACACTATACTTTTCATATTAACAACTATAATATTGCTCACCTATTTCCCAGACAATGGGTCTCTAAAAGTTTGGAGTTGAGCAGCTCAGTGGTAAACTTTAAGCATGTACTCCACAATAAATGTATGTTTAGAAATTATACATACTCTCTTACAGTGTAGTAATAGATTTTATACACTATAGAACACAATCCAAAATAAAAATTAAAAATATGAAAATAAAAGTAAACATTAAGTTCTAATATTTTTCCTGCATCCCAAAGGGTTATCTTATCTTGCCCTCCTCCCTGAAGAGGCCATTCCAGAAACTCATCATCTAAATAAGTGCATCTCAAATGTTAATGTGCACATTAGTCAACTGGAGATCTCATTTCTAATGTAGATTTTGACTTGGTATATATAGGATGGGCCTGAGAAGCTGCATTTCTAACAAGCTTCCAAGTAATATTTATGCTGCTAACCCATGGAGCGGATTTGAGTAACAAGAATTCAAACAAAAGATTAACGTTTAGCCAAACGGATACTGCTGTTTTGCAAGAGGTAATATTAGGTTGGTGCAAAAGTCACTGCGGTTTTTGCCATTACTTTCAACGGCAACCTTGATAGCTGATTCTGAAGTCAACCTTTCACGACCATTGGCAAAACTGAGAAAAATTACTTTTTAAACCATGCAACAATCCTTACACAGCTAACCAATAATATCAAAGAATACACTTGAAATGTAGGTAACTATCATGACTGGTCATATACGTGGTTAAACTAGTAAACTAAATCATAAACAACTGATTTTGTTTTCATATACTTCTCTTCTACCACCAATGACAGCAGTGAATAGAAATTAAGAAAAAATACGGACAAAGAACAAAGCTAAAATAAGTATTTTCATCTTCCAACATGAAATCAGCAGGTAGGAAATCTGTGGTTAACTATTATTGGCTAATATCTACATTTATGTTTAACAGAGTTATAGCAATGTTTGTTGGTTGTTTCTTTTTATTTTTTAAGTAAATGCAAAGCAAGAATGTCCAAAGCATACTATTTTTTTAAAACCTATCTTTAATTTACACAAATTAAAAAGGTCCAAACCTTTTAAATGTACAGAGCTTTATGTATGAAACTCAGGTAAATTCAGAATATCAGCAAATAAAATCACAAAGCATGTTGGTCTTACTGTTAGTCTTGCAGTTCCCTAATAAAACCCTAAAATTCACATACCACTGACTGCATGACAACATCTCATGCTGACTCTCCAATAGTTTCCACCAGTCAAATACACCACACAACAACTAAGATCACACTCAAATTTCAATTATTTACCTTGTGAATCATTTTTCTTGCTTCCACTTCCTCACTGTTGGGATTCTCTAACTCAATGGTATAAGTACCCTTGTCACTTTGGTCATCATCATTATCCTTTTCAGAAGTAGCAGAAGTTGCTTGATTTTTTAACATTTTATCCATCTCCTGGCTTGGTCTGTGCCCAAGACTCCCTGAACCTCTTAATAATGCAGTTTGTAGGAAGGGTATTGACACCGATGGCTCCTCTGATTTCTGTTTTAACAGTTTCCCATGTGGAACACCATGCCCCCCTCTGTGATGCACAGAGCTAGTCTGTAAAGACAAAGAAACCACTTTGGCATCTGCTGTTGAAGACTTTGCTTTCTCAAGTTTTGTATGTGGTGTTGAATATGTAGTTTCCTGACACAAGATTCCCGCACTTTGAGTTAAAGAATATGACCTTCTTTTTCTGGGATTGTCTTCATCAAAGAATGCAATCATAAAAGCAGTTTGACTTACAACAGCTTGGTCTTGATGCTTTTCAGTAGCCTGGACCTTCTGTAGCTTTTTGTGTTCTGAATGGTGGTGTCTTAAGTGTTCCTCAAGAGTTGCACATTTGCTACAGCGCCTGTGAGCCCCAGCATTCTCTGAATCACTTTGCGTACCATCATCATGTTTATTTCCTGGATACAAAAAGAAACCACACAATAGAGAAGGAAAAAGTCCCATGTAGAAATTTAGAAGCATGTACAAAAGTGCTATTTGTTTTGCTCCCCTCCTCCTTATCAATCCAAAGTCATATGTTCTCTTCAGTAACAGGCTCGGCAAACTTGCTCAATTGCAATGGTTACATTCAAATTTTATCAACTAACAATGAGGTCCTTTATAAACAACTGAATAGGATCGCCTTTCTCCAAATTTTAACTTTATAATGTTTCATCAATGTCTTAATAGATAAGCGATGCTCTATCTCTGCGATATTTGTATTCCTAACATCAATAAACATTAATTCTGCCTTCAAATTATACACCTTATTTAGCAATAAAAAATTTGACTCTAGCATTAGAGATGAAGAAAGACAAGAAAAAGGGTAATATCACTGAAATGCTTACTGTTACACAGGAAATGAGAACACAAGTATTGTAAAAATGTGATGAATCTTAAGCTTCACTGATGTTCAGTACTTTCAGAAGCTCAGCATATTTTTCCTTTTTATTAAAAAGATTCAAATTTGTAGTCCCCATTAATTATTGCAAAATTTTTTCCACATATCTTTCCAGCTGTGAGAATTTTTGAAAACTGCATTTGCACTCGAAACTCTAGTGGCTTCAGAGTTAAAGAAAGCATGCTGAGAGGTCTATCAGTGCAAAGGGTCATCTATGAAATCTCCACCTAGATCTAAGGACCACTGGGCAAACAGCATGGTGCTAAATATAACCAGCTGTTTTCCCCAGGAAGCATATCAGGTTAGAATATATTTGAATTTTGAAAGATCACCTCTTTAACAAAGGTTTTTCTATTTTAGAGCAAGTAAAAGCCACTAGTTACCCTTAATGGTTCTGTTAGGTTTTGGATGTGATGACACAAAAATTATTTTTTTCTTGATTTAAAATTCTCATTACCTAAGTAATAAGTATATGATAAAAATAATCAAATGATATTTTATTATTACAGCATGAAATTATTAGAAAGTCAAGTTATTCTGTGCATGTTTTAAATGGAATCACAAATCAGAGCTTAAATTAGTTTTAAGCTTCTTTAGCTATAAATGAATTTAGTCAACAAGGTACATTCTAATGCTTCCAGGACTAAATCTGATTTTTAAATTTACCTGGGCTACAAGTTTTAATGTGAACACCCACTGAATAATATGGTACCAAACAAAATAATGATCAGACATGAAAGACTTAGGGGTGGGAGAGGCAAATGACCTATGTCTAGGGAAGTTGAGTGTTAATGTTTGTAGGTTGTTCCTAATGAATTTAGAGATTACTAACTGGTCCCAATGATTTAACACAGAAACACTAGTTATAAAAATGTGGTGCATAAAAGGAATGAGAAGACACAGAAGAGAGAACTGCAGAACACACAGAAAAGGGTCATGTCTTGGAAAAGTAATAGGCAAGGGAAACAAAGGGAGTAAGATCAAAATGAAGGTGATTTGGAGATCACGTCTATCAAAGTAATAGTGATTAATACTATAAAAATCATATATGACAACAAATCTGAAGATCTTTCTTCAAATTGTTGACTACTCAAAATGCAATCTGAAAAGAAAAAATGGGATTAATTAATGAAATCCCTGCCTCAGGTAATTAAGCTAGGAATAACAGATAGCAGATGAAAGGCAAGCCCAAACAAACTCACTAGTTCAAATATAGACTTCATTAAAAACACTAGATTTTACAACCTATTTCATTGTTGTATTGGCTCTATTGAAAAGGAATCCAGTTTCTAAAAGCTGAAAATAACTAAATTCCAATATTTGCTGTACCATAAGAATAACAGATCACGCACATACAGAAAGATTTTAATGAAAATACCATCTTCACAGAATTTAATTGATTCCAATAGATAAAATTTGGCACTTAGTGGTGTCAGGCCCTTTCAAATATCTTTCCTATAACCTGTAGTTCAAAACTTTTCTTATAAATTAGTCATTTTCTTTTTTGGAAAATTACCATTCCCTCTTGTATTCTGTCAGGGTTATACAAGTCAACATCTCATCACAGCTGCAATTTTCTGTTTCTACTCATTAATAAAGTCACTAGGAAACAGTCCTCACCAGGTTCTTTTCTTTCCTTTGCTTATCATTAACCATGCCTAAATACGTTGAAGTCCTTTTAATATTTTTAGGGTAGGTTAGCTGTAACAAGTCAGTGGTGTGGCCTAAAACAGTGGCAACTCTCCTAAAGGGTTAAAATGTATGGGCTTTCTTTTCCTCACTGTCGCAAAGCACCTGCATTTTACTCTTGTAGGAGCAAAGTTTTTTGTTTTAGTTTTGTTTTGCCTACTTTCAATTCTTTGATCTAAACAGTTGCTGAAAACCTAATTTTTGTAAAATTTTTATTATTTGCTATAATTACATTTATTTAGAGTCTGGCTATATACTTTTTATATCCTAAATCATGGAAAATTGTTATCTAATGATGGAAGCTCTGACTTTTGGAGAAAGTTACATGTCATTTATACACATGTCCAGAAAAGTAAAATGAGTCTATCTTGGATCAAAAAATGAGTTATATTCACAAAAACATTATCTTCAATGGCTTGTAAAATGGTCTGAAGGCAAATCCAAAAGAAGAATTCTCACACTGGCACCATACTGGGATGTATGTCTACCTATAAATCAACTTTGAAGGACAACAGTAATATGATTACATAATTTCTAGTAAGGGCTTAAAAGATCTAATCATTAAAATACAGATACAGTACACATGTGGACATTAATCCCTCTATTTGGAATTAGGCCCACAAATGGGCTTGTGAGGACAGAATGTTTTAAAATAATGGCTTAAAAATAATAGTCGATACAGGCCAGGCACGGTGGCTCACGCCTGTAACCCCAGCACTTTGGGAGGCTAAGGTGGGCGGATCACGAGGTCAGGAGATTGAGACCATCCTGGCTAACACGGTGAAACCCCGTCTCTACTAAAAATAAAAAAAATTAGCCGGGTGTGGTGGCGGGCGCCTGTAGTCCCAGCTACTCGGGAGGCTGAGGCAGGAGAATGGCGTGAACCCAGGAGGCGGAGCTTGCAGTGAGCCGAGATCGCGCCACTGCACTCCAGCCTGGGTGACAAAGCGAGACTCCGTCTCAAAAAAAAAAAAAAAAAAAGTAATAATAATAATAATAGTCAATACAGAAAATAGTTATAATGACTAAGTTATAAATGGGTTTAATACAGGTATTTTTAAAATGATTACCTTTTAAAAGGATATTTTACCTCAGTTTTTGTTTATTAAGAGTGGTTTTAAAAAGTCTAAGTTATTTCTAAATTCTCAAGGTTCAGCTACCTCTTATACTGTACTAGGAGATCAATATTATTTATCCAATTCATATAAACAGCCTATGTGTTTGTGAGTGTTAACCTATAGAAACAAAACGTCTCAATTACGTATTGTCTAGAAGTAAAAGGTCACAATCATGTCTCAAAAATACATATGCCAGGTAACTGCTGATAACTATAATTAAATATTGTGATAGGCTCCAACAAATAATTAGGTAATCACATCATCTCACTGTCCGGAAATGTCTTAGAAGCAAATCAGAAATAAGTATACAAATACTATTTCTTCATTACTTGATCAGAATGCCAGGACATAAGGTACAGATTAAATCAGGGACAGTCTTGTCATTGACAGAGAAGTCGCCCATTGTTTATTCAAATTAGTACCTATCACATGCTCAAGTACTAGATGAAGTGTTAGGAGTACAAAAACTCCTAATATAGTAACAGAATGGTCAGATAAACATGTAATCACAATTTGTTCAAAATCGTTTTCCTTATAGATAGCTTATTAAATAAAAGATAGGGTAACATAAATCTATACTCAATTCTAAAATAAATTTAATTGGCAAAACCAATGAGAAAAACCTGATCAGCTGATACGTCAGTGTACAGACATACAAATGTTACTAATTTTGGCTAAGTTGTACACAAATAAAGTATATATAACTATTTCAAAAATGAACATTCAACTCTAATTTTCATAAAGTCCTAATATTAAAAAAAATTTTAAACTGGATTAATAGATCCTACCAAATATTTCCAAACCAAAAATCTTTGTTTTATGAGTAACCACTGAGAATACTTTGAAGTGCTCCATCAATGATGTGACTGCATTACCAAAGTAGAACTTTTGGCTCAGACCAAATGGCTTAAAATTTCTTTCAGAATCTAGATATTGATCTCAATAGAGAACAGAATTGAATATATCTTTGCCTTAAATCAAGAAAATGATGGAACTCATCTTCTAGGGAACTCTACTGGTGAACTTAATAAATCTTGTATTTCTAGAAGAAAAAGAAACATGTTTTATAGCATAAATATAAGCTCATAAAACCAATCTGGTTTTGTCAAGAAAATGAAGGAAGACTATTTTGAATGAGGAAATTGGACATGGGCAGTGTGGCTTCCTGTTTAGTTTTAAGACTAAATGTAACCTTTGAAAAAAGCAGAATGTTTTCTACCATGTAAGTATCTACTAGTAGTCTAGTAAATGAAGACCAGATTTTCTTTATCGTAAAGTAGGAAGTTCTGAATGATCAAATCACTTTACCTTTCAACCTTTTCAAGTACACTGGAACATCACTTTTAATGCTTTTAGAATCCTCTTCTGTTCTTTTCCATAGCATTTGAGGAGGGTTGTTTTGTGCTAGCCAGTCAGCAGCTTTGTTTTCGGGTGCCATCATTCCTGTTTGAATCCCCAGCAAGTCTTGAGTTCCAGGAGAAGACTTCTTGGACTTGTGGCGCTGATCAGAAGTAAACTTTGTCACATGGTCTCTAATAGTTACCTTCCCTGGGGTACTGTCATCAAATTCAATGGTAAATGAAGCATGCCCTGCACCTGTTATATGGGAACTTGGTGTGTCTTTTGTTGGGATTTCATGAATAGTGCTTTCTGTTATTTGTGATGGTTGCTGGAATTCTTTTGTAGGGATTTCAAAATAACTTGGTTCCCTACAGAAAGGAAAAAGTACTTCTTCATTTGCAGCTGCAGATTGTTCCTCAACTTGCTTGGCATCTATGCTGCACCCTAATGAGAAAAATAAGAGAAAATTCAAAATATTTGATTGCTTCTGGCACTTGAGGGGGTCTGGTAATGGCCATGTGTACTACTCCGTGAGAACCAGAAGGCAGATCACAGTCTGGATGAAAACCAATGGCATTTATATCACAGAACAAATGTCACAGAGAAGAAAGAATCTTGATTATAAACATGCTATTTGATTACCAATAGGGGATGGAAGATAAGCAGCAGCAATGGCAAATGAGAGCAAAGCAGTTAAGAAATGGATCTTGCATGGCTAGGTCCATATTTTTTCCAACTTGGATCTAGAATTCATCAAGGTCCAAAAGAATTAAAATAAAATGTAGATGGAGATGCATGTTCAATGTATATATAAAAAGTGACAGAAAAACCATGAATTCCCTTCTCAAGTCACGAAGATGAGATATCTGAAATATATATGAACACATGTAGTGCTCCAAAGGAGAATAGGTGCTCAAATGAGAATACAAACATGAAGTAAATATGTAAGTGATCTTCTGGAAGTAATGATTCCACGTACCATTCTTCACCATTACATTCAGAAACATTACTTTCAGAATGACAAAGATATTGCTGAAGTGTGATCCTTGCAAGAAGATACAAACATTTTATAAAGACTAAAACATGTGGTTTGCAATCCAAGCAGCAGTGTGAAAGAAATAAGGTTAAAATAGGAAATTCAGTTTCCAGACAATAACTCTGGAAGTTTACATTTCCATACAGCAGAATATGCAAAAGTGTCAAAATTCCTTGGAGGAAAGCTGAATTGTAAACCTCAGATTAACATGAGTTGGCAGAAGGAGCAAGCAACTCTGGAACACTATCACTATTCTTCTGTTGCCTCAGAATCTAATACAAAAGTATAAAAACAGATGCATTTATGAATAAAATACATAAATGAAAATGACAACTAAAACGTTTTCGGTATGCAAATGCAAAATAAAAAAATTAAAGATGCTATTGTCCTGTTGTTGAAGAAGCAAAGCATGTCCGTTATCAAAATGAAGAGCAAGTTGAAATGAGACATATTTCCCTAAAGCTCAAAAATAAATTCTGCTTTTAAACAGATTAATAGAAAAATCACTTACAGACAATTTATTAGGAAAACAAGGCAATACAGGGAGACTAGGTTGTTTCCAAACATTTTCTAATTAAGTGAAGCATTTGGTCTTTTGAAACATCTTTTCAAAAATTAAATTTTAGTGGGATCTGTCAGGTACTATAATTGGTTTCTTGACAGCAGTCTGAATATGAAATAATATAAAACCTGACTGCTGTTAGGTTACAGAAGAATGATATAGTAACATCTCTCTTTCATAATCAAATGTGTGGGATAGGGCACGGAA
Source organism: Homo sapiens (assembly GCF_000001405.40). Taxonomy (NCBI): domain Eukaryota; kingdom Metazoa; phylum Chordata; class Mammalia; order Primates; family Hominidae; genus Homo; species Homo sapiens. The sequence goes on along the minus strand of NC_000004.12, from coordinate 118,486,766 downwards.
GACAACAAGCTCCATTTCCACAATAAATATAATAATAATAAATTGTCAAAAAAATCTAAACACAAGGCAAAGAGAACATATAATATGAAAGAATATATTGTAATTTTCACTGTGAAAAATTATCCCTTTTAAAATCTACTCAGCTTTCCTATCACTGAACATGAAAGAAAAGTATTGGAAAAACTCTACATTATCAGAGAAATAATCATACATTTATATGACATGACCTAAGTTTAAAAGAATGTTTGATTAAAGAGTTAATTTGTCTTTTTCTTAAAAATAAAATGTTCAGCTGGACTTCTGAGTGTTTACTCTGAAGTCATGTTAGTTAAAATTTCCATTAGAATAAAATGTATTAACTGCTTCTCATATATTAATAGTTCATTAATGTTATTTTTCTATTTTTTCAGACATCGATTTTTTTACTATGTACAATGTACTGTACTTGATCAAGTCCATACAACTGGTTCATAAACCTGTCCTCTCTCCCTCCCCCCATATAGATATATACATATAGTTTGTTTTTGCTTTGCTCATCCTTCAGGTGACAGAACAACGTCAAGATGGTAGTTTCTAATACCACTACACAGAGAGCCAAATAAAACTGATCCACTATACAGAGAGCTAAATAAAACTGATGTGGCTCAGCTATGAAGCAACACAAAAAAGCTGGCCAGGGATATAGCACTTATCAACCACTTGTTGTTCATGATTCAAAGGAATATTATCTCAGTTTTCCTCCCTTGCAAAAAAAGTTCACAGTTAATACTGACATGTTTTAACATGTTTCATGCATTAAAACAGCTGAGATCAACAACTGCACTGCACTGTTTTGAAGGTCACCATTCCCACGTTAGTACTACTTCAAACTCGCATTCACTCAAAGCTAGAAACTTGAGACTTATACAAGTTAATAACTAATTCATCTAGAAATCAAGTACCTAACCATGTCAAGTAGCACAATAGAGTGGAAAGGCAGCAGACTATGATCTGATGATCATAACCAGGCAGCCTGGTTTCATGCAAAGCCCAGACAAGATCTGAAATCAGATAAATCTTATCCCTAATCAGTCTGTAGTCCTCATTTTCCTCATCATAAAGTGAGAAAACAGTATCTTCCCATAAGATTGTTGTGAAGATTTAGTGAGATGAGTATTAAGTGAGATCATGTAAGTTACCCAGAACAAAGCAGGTACACAAATAAATGCTTCTCCCTCAACCTTCAAAAACAGCTGAGAATCAGGAAGACAAAAAGCTAATACCAAAACCCAACTCTAAAAATCCCAAGACAGATATGACAATGCCTATCCTTGAATATTCATAAACATTACTAACAGTTAAGATCTTCACCGAGAGGTTTTTACTATTTACTCAGATCACATGTAGCAAACCTTGGGCAGGGTACAAAAGTGAGGATTAAGGACAGACAAATTGCACCAAGTGGTAGAGATAAGATGAAAAACAAGAGCAGACAAATGGCCCCAAAAACATGGTAGTCCAGTACCATTCAGTATATAGGGCAAACAGTCTTATATACTACAGTCTCCCGAGGACATTATTGTAGGGCAGTATCAGTATTATTATATTACTAATATATTTGATTATTGATTATATCAATATTGCTATTGCTATTGATATATATAATAATAGTAATACTGATATTGATGATTGATGATTCTGAGTCATAAGAAAAAGTTTTAAATTATACTGAACCTTCTCTGCTTAAGAAGGTGGTAATATGGGTAATTAATTTAATAGAAACTTAGGAAATGGTTAAACTTTAAAAAAACTATCAACTGTAAAAGTAAAGTTCAATCATCTGGAAAATTCATTATGTGGAAGGATTCATTTCCCTAAAGATGATAAAAACAGATGAAGTGTGGTCCAACTACACTTGAGAAGTACCTAACAGAAAACTATAAGGGGTCTTCTAATCAACATAGAAAAATAAAACACCTTTCCTCCCTCAGAACACTAACAGAACATATTCTGGAATTTAGAAATTTAACATTCATCTATCTTCAAAACTCATTTTGTTATACCAAATGAAACTAAATAATAGAGTAAATACTTGTTTAGACTAATATTATATTATTAATCTCAATTACTAGATTTTAAAAAATTATTTAATGATTGACTATGCCATAATTAATTCCATATATCTAAATCAGAAAAGCAATTGGTGATAATCTGCTTATGTTCTTAAGGTATTTTATGACTGTGTTACCTTAACACAATATGTTATAAGGGATACTTATACTTCATCCAGAATAAATGTTCTTTTCATTCTTCTGTACTAAATTCAATGAAATATTAAACTTATTTGAGATGACAAGAACTATAATTATAACAGCTCATTCTGCTTAAGACATCCATCTAACCTAGTCTGTTCAAGCATGTCAAATTAAGAAGACTGGGAAGCTCCTTTTGCTTAAAAGGAGCTACGACTTGAAAATTTCCAAATTTAGTTTCGCTGGATTAAAAATCAACATGAGAGAGCCAAAAATCTACGATTCCCAGTTGCACATGCCATTTCAAAATGTGTGCGACATTTAAAGGCCTTTAATTATAACCTAAATTAATTGTTGAGACCAAGTTAGGAGGTAGAAAAGCATAGCTGTAAGTAAATTGAGGACAAACTTTCTGTCTTAATACGATTAAAAATAGTCACACAATTTCTGGAGAACGAAATTGCTCTAAAGTAAGTGTTTGCTTAAACCAGGGCTTTTTAAGCTATATGGCAAGTCTTCAGGAGTTTCTGGATATATATGAACCCACAGAGAGGAACGTTAAAAATTACTAGGTAGCAAACACTCTATTATCCTTTCTGGAATGCAACTCTAAAAATTAATAATGAAGAAGCAAATCACTTTTTGCTTTCACTAAGAGTATGCTACAGGATAAATTATTAAACTAATCACGTATATTCCACAATTTGAAACTTAAAAAAAAGTTTAAGTTTTTAAAAATACCTTAATTTCAAAATGACCACATTAAAGAACACTTGATATGCATTTCAAATCTGATTCTACAATTTCTGCTGGCTTCATAAATTATTTCAAGACAGTAAACTATTTTCCTCATCCTATATTTTAAAAAGCTGCAAATGATAAATCTGAAACAGTAATATCCTCATACTAACATAAGAAAGCAAGTGAGAGTCTCTTAAGGCTATTACTAATCAGCTGTATCTGACAGGGCACTTTAAGGAATTTGACACAAGACATAAATCACTGAATTATTACTCAAAAAGAACCCCAAGATCATGAGACGGCTTTTGGTCATCTAGCAGAAAGAGCACACAAGCTGAGAATCAGTTACGTTCATATAGATGAAAGTATTGCTGGATGCTTCACATTTGAAATTTATTTTATTATGCCGAGCTAGGAGGGATCAATTTTCATGGCTATTTGATTTTGGAGTATTTGTTTAAATCTTTGTACCCTATGAAGTATATCCTTTTAGAGTGATTGTGTTTACAAGAGTAATGATGGCTGAAATATTAAAACTTCTTATGGTTAAGAGCGTGGACTCAGGAGTCAGGCAATCTAAGTTCAAATCCCAGCTCCATTATTTGTAGTTGGGTGACTTTGACAAGTAAATTAATTTCAGTATGCCTCAGTTTCTTTATCTACAAAATCACAGTAACTACACCTTTAGGTATTGCTGTGATGATTAAATAAATGCATACAAAGCACTTAGAAGAATGTTGGATAAAGTAAACACTACTGAAGTGTTAGCTATTACTGTAAATCATGGTTGTGCCTTCTGTACAAAAATTACATATACACTTCATTGTATGTTAGAAGTTATGCGCTTCAGATTTCAAAAGCTGTTTTGTGTGTGACAGGGGAGGGCTAAAATTTTAATGGCAAGATAAAAATTACTATCATACTGATTTTCAGAGTTTGGTGATAATTATATTCAGCTATGTTTTCTTAATCACCTAATTGGTAAATCTTTCCCCCTCTCAGTACTAGGTGGCTCTAGGGCACAGTGATAGTATATTATGCGGTACTGGAATAAGACATGTATAGTTTAGTTGTGGGGAGGAGGCACACACACAACATAGTGAATGAAACTGTAACGTACTGACGATAAATATACAGACATCATTTAGAATGTATCCTTTATCATTTAATGTATGTGTGTATTTATGTCTGTGGGAAAAGAGCAGGCAGGAATTAGCGTAATTTATGGGGGATGCATTGGGAGAGACCACTCAAACAACTGGTAATGGGACGTAAGGCTGACCATGGAAACTGGGACAAAATTAGAAAACTCTGACATGAACAACTTAGTTTAAAATCTATTTGGCAGGCAAAAGACAGTCATTGTAGTTTCTTGAACAAAGAAAATAAAGATCAATTTAGATGTGTTATACAAAATAAACTGCAGGAGGGTTGAAACCAGGAGGTTGGTAGCCCAGTCATGACTCAGGACGGGGGGCAGCGTGGGGAAAGGCAACGACCTAAGGATTAGACAAACAAGATGAAGGGAAGGGAACACCCAAAATTTACAAATAAAGCAGACATCCTTGGTTTTCTTTCAATATCCTTTCGCTGTTCTTTCCTCCTCAAAGGACTCCAAAAATCTCTGGCATCCACTCTTTCCTGACATAGATCATGTGGCTTAGGGGAAAACTAACACCACACACAGCTTCAAGGTGAGCAAGACTGGTTTAAGGATAATCTAACTTGCCTTGCCAGGGATTGGTTCAGAAATAAGCAGGTGACCCTCTCCTGAACCTGTTAGAGGCCAATGAGATGAGAGATGTTAAGAACTTTTGGCAAAGTTCTTCCAAATTCTGGAAGGTCTTCCGGAAGTAACGTTTTCGCTTTCCTGTTGGATGTGATCAAAGTAGCATGTACCCCTTCCTGCTACTGGCAGGCAGCCTATGAGAGTGAGGGTAAACTCCTCAGTCTGCAACCACTATGAAGAGCAAGACTGAGAGATGGAGAGAAGCTAGCTAGCTGATGACGACATTGTTGAGATGCTGAAGTAAACAACCCTCATGGGGTTCAGTTATGTGAGCCAGTAAATTTCTTCCCTGTTTAGTCTCAGGCAGCATTTGTTATTTACATCTGAAAGCGTGCTAAGTAATACTGTTTCTGTGCATGGGCATGAAGAAAACTGCTGGTGACAGAAACAATAAAGCTGGGATGGGAATTTATTTGAAAGTTGACAAGTTCAGCCTTGGGCACTGTAAGATGAAGTTGATAATGCTCGCTTTTCTAGACTTGTATCCATTAGAGCATACCTAAAGAACCAATGTTCTTATTCTCCAGCTAAGAAAAATGTCCTATTTATCTTGTAGAATTAGGGTGAAAAGCAGAAAAGTGAGAAGAGTTCTCATGGAATTTATCCTTGGTTCAGAGCCAGACTTAGTCTTCCATACTGAGCCCAGGTGCCTGTACTTAATTCCTCCAGTTCTGGATCCTTGTCTGCTGTTATCTCAAAAACTGGCTGCTCCATCTTTCTGTCCTCATGTCTTTGCAAGGTCCTTATGTGGCAACTGACGCCTCCATTCATCTCCTGGAAGTCTTGATTTTCTGGTTTATGGACTGAACCACTCCATTAACAATATCAGAAATATCAAAAATATGTTCCTTGACTATTAATCTGAGAATCTGACCCAGAACTATTTTTTCATTCTGGCTGCCAAACTCAACTAATCTTGTTGCTGCCATTTCTCATTACAATGAGCACACTGAGGTTTTGAAGAATTTGTAATTTCATATCACATTTCTGAACAAAGTGGGAATTCTTCATTTAAAAATATGATTAAGCCGGACATGAGATGGTGTGTGCCATAATCTCAGCTCCTCGGGGGGCTGAAGTGGGAAGATGGCTTGAGTCCGGGAGTTCAAGACTAGCCTGGGCAACACAGTGTGATCCCATCTCAAAGAATAAATTAACTAATTTATTTTAAAAATATGATTATATTCTGGGGATCTAATAAAAACACAAAATTAGTGCCTACTATTTTGGTCTAATTGATATATTTTAATAATTATTTTTGTATACTTAAAATGCCTAGTTATATCATTAATCTACTTTCCAAATCTTAACATCTCCTTTAAACTGTAAAAAATATTTTAAATAGAAGTGCTTTATAAAGATATTAAAATTAATACTTTACTTATAATCACACATAATTTTAAATTTTACATTAAAATAACAAGGCCATTAAAACATTCATCAATTTTAAAAAATCAAAGTATAGAATACTAGATCATCTCTTTTCATGGTAGACAGCTGTTTGCTTAGATTACAGATACTTCCCAAAATATCCATTTAATGTCACAGTGACTGAGATTTTTTTACCTGATGTTCCAGCTTCATGATTTTTTTCTTCAGGTTTGCCATTTGTCTTGAAAGCTCTTTTTTCATCCACCTCATCATCCCCTCACCATGACGGCTGCCCATATAATGGAGTACCACGGGGCATAGCAGAAATATCTGGAAAGAGGTGGGAAAAATCTGTCTAAAGCAGAAGAAACAGAAAAGAATACACTTTTGCAGAATGCTAGAACTGCCTGATTAATTAAATTAAAAAGCAAAGTATAGTCTTGATAGCTAAAATGTACTCTATACTGAATTAACTCGGTATTTGTGAAAGATCTTATACAATGTTGGACATGACTAAATAAATAAGATTTCCACTGGGTGGTATCTAAGTAACACAACGTGCTACATATCTCAATAGCTTTTTGTTAAGGTGTTATGAGTTGTTTGCTATATAACTGAACTGCTTGTAACAAATGGCATTTTACTTGAACTTAGACAGAAAGTGACCTCAGAAGAACAAGTTTGTTGAAACTAGACAATAATCAACTAGGGAAGAACAAAACCAGTCTGATCAGAAATGGCTCATTAAGGCTAAATGTAAAAGACAAAGCTAAAGTAAATTTTCACATGAGTAGCTATTTTCCAATTTTTTTCAAGCCCAAGGACACAAAAACTAGTTCTTAACAGAACTAACATATTTTTGTTTGAGCAAATGTAGTAATGCCTATTCATTTAAAAACTTGTTTCTGTTTGAATGGGATTATTTATGTAAGGCATTTTATAACGTGCCTAGAATTGTAAATTATTATATGGTGATATAGCCACATTTGATTTAAAAAATTTTTCTTTTAATTCGTTTTCGTTGTTATGCTGCAGAAGAAAATGCAGACAAACATGAAATAATAAAAATATTATAAGGTAAACTACACAGTTAACCCTCTGAATCTGTAGGTTCTGCATCCATGGGTTCAATTAGCTGCAGATGAAAAATGTTTTGGGGGGAAAAAATTCCACTACATTCCAAAATGCAAGACTTAAATTTGCCTTATGCCAAGTACTATTAAACAAATGAAGTGAGGTGTATGCATTGTATTAGGTATTATAAGTGATCTAGAGATGATTTAAAGTATACAGGAGGATGTGTTCAAGTTATGTGCAAATACTATGCCATTTTACATAAGGAACTTGAGCATCGTGAATTCTGGTACTCATGGGAGTCCTGAAACCAGTCCCCCACGGATACTGAAGGATGACCATATTTACTTCTCTTAAACATTTAAACATATTAAGCACACCTATATACAACTGCTATATATAATTATGTGTTTTATAATGTTTCCTAATGAAAGCACTGGTAGCATTAAAACACACTCTGAAATTATCACTATTATAAATTATTTTTATATGGACATGGCCAACTTTCTGAGAACAAAGCATGCAGTGTCTTCAAGATCAAGTATAAAGATGGTCTTTCGAGAGAGGCCAGCTTACCCATGGCTTTTTCCTCGGATTTCAGTGCTTCAGTAGTTTTGTGCTGCACTTCAGTAGCAGCGTCTGCTACCTTTGAATCTATGCTTTTGGCACTTGCAGATTTGGATAATTCTGATTCTGAAGATTTTTGGGACAACTGAAGCTGAATGGTAAACTTCTCATGCTATAAAACATTTAAAAATGGAAGTGAAACATCAAGAAGTAAAATCAACCATAGTGAATAGTAGATTTGCAAAAGAAGTTAAGTAAAAACTGTTACCTTAAGAGCTTCTTCAGGGACCCTCATTTCTCCTTGTACTACAGTGAAAAGATTTGTATGTAAACAGGGCTAAGGAAGAATATAACCTCAAATTTCTGGTAATTGAGCTAAAAATCATCATCAAATGTAATTTAGAAATTGTTCTATTTCAACAGGTAATTACAGCAGAATTATTATATTTCCCCTGAATAGTTAAATATTAAAATATGGTCACCAATGTAAACATTTTCATTTTAAAATACTAAAAATCTTAAGATCCAGCAAGTTTTCTAATTTTAAGTAATGGTGGCCCTCAAGAAGCAAACAACTGGGTAATTTATCAGAGCACAGGGACATTTTCAATTTTCACTAACAATAATATGAGATAACTACAAAGAAAAAGTACATGCATCAAATTATATTGAGAGCTAATCACAAAAATGTAAGGAAATATCTCATCAATGATTAACCAACAGCAATTCCTAAAAGAATTTGATTACTCAAACTTCATAAGCATTGATAAAAATGAAGTTCATTTTGCAAGTGCAAAAGAAATGCTATAATTAGGGTCCTTACAGCAACCACAACCATGACTGTTCCCCATGAATTGCAATCAAGGTCATATTACATTATCAAACAATGGATTCTATACCAAGATGAGATTAGAACCAAGTGCTAGATATAATGAATGCCTTCATTATTAAGCCAAAAAGAACAATGCCTCTGTATATTAAAAAGATCTATTCACTAAAGAGTAGAGGTCACATTTCCCACCATTACTTAACTCTGTAATGAAAGGACTTTTATAACCATGTACTAAATTCTATTCCTTACCACTTCAGAGCACTCATGACTTCAAGGGTAGAAAGCTGTAACTATCATGACTACTTGGGGGAAAAAGATGACTTCCCAAGCATAAGGGAAGTAGGAAACTTGTGAGTATTTATTCTAGGTTTCTACTTGTTAAAATAATAAAAATTCAGAATTGTAAATATAAAGAGTTTTGGGAAATATTCTGTTCAATTCCATTAATCCTTCCTGTTTCATAAATAAAGAACCTGAGTAATGGATGGACAGAAACTGAAACAAGAGTCTAGTCAACTGAATCCCAGGCCAGGGCTCTCCTATTAAGCTACATTGCTTTTTCCTATAGCTTTGAAATACTAAAATTTTCCTTTTTGTCACATTCATACACTGGTATATATTTGCTGGTACATACGGAAATACACATCTCATAACTAAGTATATTTAATAAAAGATAATGTCTAAATTGCAAACATATGGAATCAATCTAAATGCCCATCAACTGATAAGTGAATTAAGAAAATGTGGTGTATATACACCATGGAATACCACTCAGCCATAAAAAAGAATGAAATAGTGTCTTTTGCAGCAACTTGTATGGAACTGAAGGCTATTACTCTAAGTAAAGTAACTCAGGAATCAAAAACCCAAATACCACATGTCCTCACTTCCAAGTGGGACCTAAGCTATGGGTACACAAAGGCATACAGAGTGGTATAATGAACATTGGATAATCAGAAGTGGGGAAGCCGGAAGGTGGGGTGAGGGATGAAAAACTACCTATTGAGGTACAGTGTATACTACTCAGATGGTGGGTACACTAAAATCCCAGACTTCACCCTTGCACAATTCATCCATGTATCCAAAAAATCACGTGTACCCCTAAAGCTATTGATACTTCTTTAAAAAGACAAAAAATGTGATTAAGCTATTATAAGAAAAAACCTAGAATTTGATAAGTATACATACATTTGCATATTTATATAATATGAATTACATAAACACATATATATAATATAGAAAAACACTGGCACGTCTACTGCAGATATTATTGAAGTTTTTCATTCTTTTCTGAAAATTGCTTTTTATCTGATGTGGTTACAGATGTGAGTTCCCTGAAGCACTATTATGGTAAAAACTTTGCTTTAAATATAATAATAATACTGTCTAGTAACTTTGTTTTATCCGCAAAAAACTCACAAACAGCTAGAGAAAATTCATAGCATTCCTACTTTTTCTATGAAAAAAGGCATTAAAAATGGACAGTCATTACCATTTTTTCCATGGAAAACACAAGTGATTTCAGCCTGTTGTGAGGGTTTTCAGGTGCTTCAAGCTTACCTCCTGGGAGTGCCTGAAGGTAACTTCCCAGGGCTCATCTGGGGTATCCTCTTTAAACCTAGACACTCTTCAGGTCATGGAGAGCTTGAGAGGAGCCGTCCTTCTCAGGTTCAAACATTTTACCTTCCAAAAATGTTTCTGTGTGTGGAAACGAAGAAGACCTCAAGAAGCCTCTCGTTTGGGTCATTAATTCATCTGGGAACTCTGGTGTAACTGTGAGATCTGGAGACTGCTCTAGCCCCAGCTTTTCCCTCCAAGGCTACCATCTTCTTAGTGGTGCAGGCCTATGTAGCTATTTTTAACTTGCTAATCAAGAAAAATGACAAACTGAGGTAGAATAACGTATGATATCAGTAAGTTATAAAAAGTTTGAATTCTTGCTTATTAAAAAATCATAATTTGACAGGTTATTTCTCCACTTCTTTATGTAAAACTATGATTGCTATTCTAAGCCATCCCCCTGTACTGACCTAAGTCAATTTATTCAAGAAATGTTTATGTAAAAGTAGGACTGTGGAAACTCCCCTGAATGCTAGTAATGTGTTCTTAGATACGGTTCCTCCCGCTCTTTTATTTTAATGACAAAATAAAAAACAGAGCAAAACTTTAAACAGCATTAGTTATTCCAAGGAGTATGACCTAAAATATGAAGTGTCAGATATCACTGTAAACATATCTTTCAAAAATCATGTCAGATAAATAAGAATACTTGAATAAAATTATTTTATACAAGGAAAGATCAGAAAAACATATTTTTCAAAATTAATATATTTCATACATGTGATTTTAAAAAATATATAATAAGTCTATCCCTAGAAATTCTTAAGGTTACCCAAAAATGTTTCCTTTTCATTAAAAATATGGAAATTTTCCCTCATTTAATAATAATTGATAATAAAACATACAATTATGATAAATTAGAGTCCACAGATTATTAGTAAGGTAGGTCCTAGGAGACAATAAGGGTTTAAAAGAAAGTTAACAGCAGGAAACTTTCTAAGGGGAAAATTTTATCTATCTGCTTAATTTTGCCTATACCTTCAAAAAAAGGTATCATTTTATTTTAGGAGATGACTATCTTTCCAACTTGTAGAAGATCCTGTTCTTTAAAAACATAGTTTTCAAACAACTGATTTAAACTTCTCTATGACTTCATTTTTTCATCCAAAAAAGCTCATTTCCATTAATTTTTAAAATTTAGTTCTTTTAAGCTTTGAGAAATGTCTTCTATTTTTGAAATTTGAAAAATATTAATATGCTCATGTTTTGTTATGGATATCAACCACATAAATAAGGAAAAATCTTAACTTCTCTGAATGAAAGTTCTTAATTTTTGCTTACGTTTAACTTCCCCTTGATCATTCAGCAGCCGTTATCTTGACAGCCTACCAAACAGTGGTATATATAGTTCTGGAAGTACAGGTTAATTATAGTTTTAGATGCTATGACATGATGTATTGGAGTTTTCTTTAACCTGGTTTCTAATATGACTAACCCAATCATTTTGTGGGCCATTATGCAGGAATATACAACTTCTTTGGGAAAATATATAAGTCACAATTTTAAAATAGAAGGTACTGGGTTCTTACTTATGATGACTTACATGATTAAAATGATTAGGGGGTGGATCTTGGGATTCAAGATATTTAAGTAATGTGTAAATAATTTCCCACAAAATGTGGAAACCATACTACACTCTGCTTTTCCTCCTAGCACATTAGTGGTTTCTCCTTAGTCTCTTTTACTGGTTCCTAATCTCACCCATCTCTTAATATTGGAATATACCAGGTGTCAGTCCTTGAACCTCTTATCAATCTATATTCATTCCCTTAATGATCTCATTCAGTCTTATGGTTTTAAATATTATTTACATAATAAAAATCCCCACATTCATATCTTTAGCTTCTACTTCACCCCTGGATTCAACTTTACATTCAACATGCCCCAAATCAACTTCTCAATCTTCTGGATAAGATGGAGTAAAAAGAATTGGATTTATTCTCCTACATTAAACAACTAAAAGATGGGTAAAACACATGATACAATGTTTTACAAGACAATTGGCATCAGGCAACAAAAGACAATGATCTCCCAGAGAAGGGCAACAAAGCAAGAGTCCAATCACTGCCCCAACTCACTGCCCTGTGAAAGTTTCTAGGTCACACTGCGAGGAAGAATAATCCAGACAGAGCCTGGCAGACTCCCTGAGTTGTGATGGAAATGAAGTCAAGAGTCCAAGCAAATCAACATTACTGGAATTCACAGGACTGAGTACTGAAGACAAGCCTGCACAGAAAGAGAATTCCAGAGATTTTCAGTCTCTGGAAAATATGAGAGATAATAGTACCCAGTGCCCACACATAGGGCCAGGAATAGTACCTACTCTCAACAGCTAGACTGTAAAACCTCATGCATGATTCATGAGTCACTGGGTAGAGCACAAGTCAGCAAACTTTTTCTGTAAAGGGCCAGATAGTAAATCTTTCGGTTTCTCAGGCCACATGATCTCTGCTTCAGCTACTCAACTCTGCAGTGGTAGAGCAAAAGTGGCCACAGAAATATGTTAATAGATGGGCATAGCGATGTTCCAACAAAATAGCCTGAGGAGCAGATTTGGTCAATGAGTTTACTGACCCCCCCATAGTAGAATATACAGAAAGGTCTTGCCTCAGTAGTTGGGAATAATTAGCCCAGAACAATCTTAGAAGCCTGACAAATCTTAAAGGAAAGACTCAAAGTGATAAAACTGTTTCCAAGTAACTTGTATTCCAGAAGAATGCTCAAAAATACTTATATAAATACTAAAATATGCATATAACACTCAGCAAAGTAAAACTCACAAAGCCCACCATCTAATAAAAAATTACTATGAGTATAAAAATTAATCAATGGAAATCAACCCAGAAGAGATGAACAAATTTTAAAATAAATAATGGAGATTTTTTTCCAAATTGGATTGAAACTATAAAGCCACAGGATTTTAGAAGGTCAACAAACCCCAAGGGAGTAACAAAAAAACAACAAACAGAAAGAAGAAGAAAGAAGGAAGAAAAAAGAAAGAAGAAGAAAACTACACCAAGACACATCATAATCAAACAGTTCAAAGCCAGGGACAAAGGAAAATAATGTGAGAATACAGTGGAGCAACATCTTTAAAGTGCTAAAAATAAGAAAAAGCCAATTTCGAATTCTATACCCAGCAACAGTACCTTTTTTTTTCTTTTTTGAGATGGAGTCTCTCTTTTGCCCAGGCTGGAGTGCAGTGGTACGATCTTGGCTCATTGCAACCTCCGCCTTCTGGGTTCAAGAGATTCTCCTGCCTCAGCATCCGGAGTAGCTGGGATTACAGGTGTGTGCCACCACGCCCAGCTAATTTTTGTATTTTTAGTAGAGACAGGGTTTCCCCATGTTTGCCAGGCTGATCTCAAACTCCCAACTTCATGATCCGCTTGCCTCAGCCTCCCAAAGTGCTGGGATTATAGGTGTGGGCCACCGTGCCCAGCCAATATTATCTTTCAATAACTAAGAAGAAATACTTTTCTAGACATATAAAAGCTGACAGAATTCATCACCAGCAAAGCCATAGTACAAGAAATGTTGAAGGAAGTCCATCAGGTAGAAACAAACTGACATTATGTGAAAATATGGATCTGTACAAAGGGATGAAGAATACCAGAAATGGAAAGTTCATGGGTTTTAGACATAAGTACAATGGGTATAAAAATATGTATTTTAAAATATGTATTTTAAGATTTTAAAAATTATTTAAACCTCTTTAAATGACAATTGACTTTTTACTAATAACAATGTAGTATGGGGTTTGTGACACACATAAAAATAAAATATATGACATCATAGCACAAAGGTCAAGATGAAAGTATACTGTTGTAATGTTCTTGTACAATATGTAAAATGGTATAATGTTACTTGAAGATAAAACTTGAAATTAAAGACAAATTATAAGTCCTAAAGGTACCACTAAAACAACAACAAAAAATTACAGCAAATAAGCCAACAAAGGAGATAAAATGAAATAATAAAAACTATTCAGATAACTCGAAATCAGAAACGGGGAAAAAGAAAACATAAAACTAATGGGTCAGACAGGACACAAATTTCAAGATGATAGATTTAAAACTAACCACATCAATTATCACATTAAATGTGAATGGCCTACATCACCAAATAAAAGTAAAAATTATCATATCAGATAAAAAAGTAAGAACAACTGTATGCTGCCTACTTTACATGTAAAGACAAACAGGGTAAAAATTAAAAATAGACAAAAGAAAGCTGGAACAACTATAATATTAAGACAAACTAGATTTCAGAGCAAAGAATCTTATTATGGATAAAGCAGGTCATTGCATAATGATAGAGGGGTATAATTCATCAAGATAGCATAATAATCCAGGTTGTCTATGCAACTAATAAAAGAGCTGCAAATGACAAAGCAAAAAGTTCTGCAAGGAGGAGGGGGCGAACCCATAATTATAGCCTGAGATTTCAATATCCCTTTCTTAATAATTGAAAGAGTAAGAAGACAATAAATCAGTAAAATACAGCAGAACTGAACACCCACCAAGCCAACCTGGCCTAACTAACATTTATAGAACATTCCAACCCCCAAATAGCAGAACGCATATCCTTTTTAGGTACATATGGAACATTTACCAAGATAGAACATATTCTGGGCCACAGAACAAGTCTCAATAAATTCAAAAGGATTTGAGACATACAAAGTATGTTCTCTGAGCAAAATGGAATTAGAAATCAGTAACAGAAATATATCTGGAAAACTCCCCAAATATTTGGAAACTAAACAAACTTATAATCTGTGACTCAAAGAAGAAAATAAAAAAGGAAATTAGAAACATTAAAGTAGTAATTGGGGGAAAATTTATAGCTCTAAACACCAGTATTAGAAAAGAAAGGTCTCAACTGAATGACCTCAGCTCCTACCTAGAAAAAAGTTTAGAATAAAGGTAACAGAAATCAAATAGAAAACAGAAAAATGTGAAAACTTGGTTAAGCCTAAAGCTAGTATTTTGGGATGATTCTTCCCATTTTCTCCACAAAACTTGCTCTACCTACAGAATTCTCTATCAGTTATTAAAAGGATGCCTTCCTTTTTCATATTGCTCAGGCCTAAATTCTGGTTCATCCTTGACTCTTTCTCTTACTCTACATCCAGTCTAATCAGAAAATTTTATTGGCTACATCTTCAAAATATACACAGAATCCTTTCATTTCTACTTCCAGATATATCACCCTGGTCCAAACCTCCTTTACCGTTCACCTGAATTACTGCAATAGCCTCCTAACTGGTCTCTCTTTTCATACCCCTGCCCACTCCACCCTTAGTTTTCTTTGAACAAGAGTAGCCAGAGGATCTTTTTAGATGTATGTCATTTATCACTCCTCTGATTTAAAAAACAAAAACAAAAACACCTCCAAAGACTACCCATTTCACTCAGAATAAAAGTCAAAATCCTTATAATGTCCTATGAGAACTGATATATTCTGACTCCTAATATACTCATGTTCTTTGCTGGCTCCAACCACACTGGCTTTTAAATGCTATTCCTCCAATATGTCAAACATGTCTCTGCTTCAAGTCCTTTGTACTATACCCTCATCTGTCTGCAGGACAATATCTCCATATATCCATATGGCTAACTTCTTTACTTTCTCCACATCTTTGCCCCAGTGCTGGCTTCTCATTGAGGTCTTCGTGAATATTCTTTTTAAAACTCTAACTTCCCACTTACCAACACTAGCTCTCTGCCTCCCACTTTCACTTTTTTCCATAGAACTTACCATCCTCTAATACCCTCACTTCTAGTGTGTGCTGTCAGTCCCTTCAACCCCATTAAAGTGTAGGCTACAGGAGAACAGTGATTATGATCTATTTTATTCACAGTTATATTTCCCAAACCACTGGGACTATGCCTGGCACATAGGAGACATTTAATAAATAATTAGGAAATGAATAAACTTTTCCTTATCAGCCTCATTTTTGGCTACCTGAAGATTTATTACCACTTTTTGAAGTTTTTCTTGATTACTGCAGCATTTTAGTACTCCTTATGAGTTTACAGTCATTTTAAAAGCTTGTATATTTCAACTGAGTATGTGCTTTTCCAAATCACTTATTTCTCCAGTTACAAAAAAGACTTATGTTGCCTAATTCTAGTCTCAATCCATGTTAAATTGCTCCTTCTATTGATGTAGCATTTTATTTTATTTCATTTATTTATTTATTTTAGACGGAGTCTTGCTCTGTCACCCAGGCTGGAGTGCAGTGGCACGATCTTGGCTCACTGCAACCTCCGCCTCCCAGGTTCAACCAATTCTCCCTGCCTCAGCCTCCTGAGTAGCTGGGATTACAGGTACCTGCCACCTTGCCCGGCTAGTTTTTGTATTTTTTGGTAGAGATGAGATTTCGCCATGTTGGCCAGGCTGGTCTTGAACTCCTGACCTCAACTGATCTGCCCACTTTGGCCTCCCAAAGTGCTGGGATTACAGGTGTGAGCCACTGCGCCCAGCCTGCTGTAGCTTTTTAATTAAAATAGTTTTCCTCTCCAAAGTATAGCAGTTTATAGACTGCCTATTAAGATTAATTTTAATTATATTAAAGTACAAAAATGTCTTCAATCTAGTATAGCTAAACACAGAAACAAGTAAATATATAAAATCTGCTTTTAAAATTACGTATATAATTTCTGCCACTATAACAGATGGTTTTTTTTTTTTTGAGATGGCGTCTGGCTCTGTTGCCCAGGCTGGAGTACAGCGGTACGATCTCGGCTCACTGCAAGCTCCGCCTCCAGGGTTCACACCATTCTCCTACTGAGGTAGGAGGTAGGAGCCTCCTGAGTTGCTGGGAGTACAGGCGCCCGCCACCATGCCCGGGTAATTTTTTTGGATTTTTAGTAGAGATGGGGTTTCACTGTGTTAGCCAGGATGGTCTCAATCTCCTGACCTCATGATCCGCCTGCCTCAGCCTCCCCACGTGCTGGGATTACAGGCATGAGCCACCGTGCCTGGCTAACAGATGCTATTTTAAAATAATAAAATTATATGAGCCTCCTCTGGGCATCCAGACAGTAGTCATGGCTCAACACTAAGTGCACAACTCTGAGAAAGTCTTTGGGACAAAACATCTGTCCCAGCAATTTTAGACAGACATATTATGAGCTGGTACGTAAGAGAAAAATGTCTGTTTGCTGTTAAGAAAATAGTATACTATGTGTAAAAGCGTGAGGTTTTTTTCTCAATAGTTTCTTCTTGATATAAAATTCAAAGTTAACTTGACAGAGTTTTACTAAAACTTAAATTTCCTAGTATTTTCTCATGATTTGAAACAGTTGATGCCAAATGGATTAAAGGAGGTATCTAAATTCAAAATATACTAGTATTTGTTCTTGATGAAACTTAGGCTGGTAGAAAATGACACCCATTCATTAAGGCTTTAATGCTAATTCTTAATTATTTTGCATGAAGCATTTTTTTTAAAGACTTAAAATATATACAAGTATTACTATTTAATGGTTTGGCTTTTTGTATATTCCTTTGGCTCTACAAGTGTGAATATTATAAAGCATGCTACAAAACTTTAATTTTAGATTTAAAATTTTAAAAATTGTAATATTATTTTTCGTAATTTTTTTTTTTTTTTGAGATGGAGTCTCTCTCTGTTGCCAGGCTACAGTGCAGTAGTGTGATCTTGGCTCACTGCAACCTCTGCCTCCTGGGTTACAGCGATTCTCCTGCCTCAGCCTCTGGAGTAGCTGGGATTACAGGTGCGTGCCATCATGACTGGTTATTTTAAAAATTTTTTTGTATTTTTAGTAGAGACGGGGTTTCACCATGTTGGTCAGGCTGGTCTTGAACTCCTGACCTCGTGACCCGCCCGCCTCGGCCTCCCGAAGTGCTGGGATTACAGGTGTAAGCCACAGCACCTGGACTATTTCTTGTAAATGTCAAGGAACAATTTTATAGTGTTAATACATTTACTTTAAGCATCTACTCTATTTAGCTGAGACTATGCTTTTTCTGCTACGGTGACAAAAGTCCATCCAAATTGCTATGCTTAATACATTCTTTATTACCAAAGTCCCAATAAAAGTAGTAATTCAAAAAAACTAAAACTCAAAAAAAAAAAAACAACCTTCAGCATAATGTGGAATAGCTGTATTTTAATTAAATGTACATAAATCCTTTTTACAAAGCTTCTTGCCTACTATGAATGGAAATGTCTTTCTTCTTCTGCAATCATGCTCCTTCCCTTCACTAGAGATTCTTCACGCTGCCCCATGCAGTTTAATACAGTCATGTCCTTGTTCAATTATTAGATTCCTAATTTTAAACATAAGAAATTTAAATACACACTAAATGCATAATGTGGATTAATCAGAGAGCGTAGGTCTTAGAAGACACAGGATATTGAAAAGTTTGAATTTAATAGGCAATATAGCTGTGATGCATAAAACAGTTAACGGGAGGGATGGAAGGAAAAGTAGGTTTAAATTCTTACATTCATCCCAGGAGGCTGATTCATGCATCGTGTTCCACCTGAAAGCAATCCCTAGGCTGGACTAAAATTAAACATTCCCCTGTCCTCTCCCCAGTTACATTCTTTGATGCTCAAATTATATATGCAATAGCACTTCAGTGAGACTGATGCTGAAACTACATAAATAGAGAGAGAGAGGAAAAAATAAAAGCTGAGTCCACCAACTTTTCCATGATTACTTTTAGGAAGAGGCATAATAACTAAAAATATATATGTATTTTAGTATAGGAATGCACCCAATAAATAGAAATTCTGGCATATCTGTATTGTGAATTGTGTTTTAAAAATGTTAACTTACACCAGAGTAAACATATTTGAATAAATTTAATAAGTACATGAAACCATTTAAGGATATCATATCCAAATCTCAGCTTATCTTCAAGTTTCAAGGTGATATAAGTCTGTTCCGGAATCCTTACATCATTCACAAAAGTCTACAAGGAAACAAAAAAAGATGTTAGGTTACGTATGAGGTATTAATTCTTACATTTCAGATAAGCAAATTCTCAAATCTGAGAGTTAAAAGCACATATCATACGGTGGCTAATACAGCCTGAGTATTATAAGATGTGCCATGCAGCCTGTAAGCTGATAAATGATTTTATACTAAGCCTTTTATCTCTCTTACTGGTAACACACAAAGAACCTTACCCCTGCTAAGGAAATTCTGCATATTATAAGTCATATATAAATATTTGGATTGAGCTTTACCAATAAGCTTGCAAATAAAGTTGAGGCTAAAACTTAAAGAATTTACATGCATTCATCCAATCATTTATTAGAATCATTTAGCTACCAACTGTTGGTGAGTACTCACCACATGCCAGGCTGGATGCTAGGTGCTGGAGATGGTGTGGTGGACACAGTGTGGTCCCTGCCTTTGGTCCTGCTCTTGTATGTTTCTGTGCATAAAGTCTCCCACTTTCAGAGGAGGCAATGGGATTCTTCAGCTTCTGGCTGCTGTCTGAGGTTTAGACTCATCAAGGTGAGGAATGTATTTGTTGCCAGGCTGGAGTGGGGAGCTTCTTCTGAGGGTTGTGGCCCAGTTGGAAAGCCAGCCACAAATCATGCTCAGATTGATAGTGCTCTTAAAAATAAATTATCTCCTGGTCTTACGCCACTGATGGTCTTGTCAAGAAGGACATTAATCCTATTCTCCCTTTAATCACATGCCAGGGTTGCGTACAA